>NC_000001.11:53644744-53796259 GCF_000001405.40 Homo sapiens
GGGCCCCGGGGTCCGGCATCATCCCACAGGCCACAGAGAGGATCCAGAATTGCATCCTGAGTGCCACAGGGGCTCACTCCACAACAGCAAGTATTATTTGCAGAGGAGCGACAGATTCCACTGGTATAAAAGGATCACGCAGGCTGCTGTGCTGAAAGCAGACTGTCTCGCTTATTTGTTGGTTTACGGTTTATCTCCTCCACAAAAATCTAAGGTCCATGAGGGCAGCACTTAATCTGAATTGATCACTATTATCTCTCCTCAGTGCCTAAGAACAGGGCTTGGCATGTGCATAGGAAATGTCTGTGAAATAACTAAACAAACGCACGCCAGCCACACCGGCCTCCTGGCTATTCCGCACTCATGCCAAGCACAGTCTGGCCTCGGGGACTTTGCAATTGATGTGTGCGCTCTGCCTAGAATGCTTCTCCCCCCCAGACATCTGCATGGGTCCTTCCATATTTCGGATCTTGATTCACACATTGCATGAACATTGGGGCCTTTCCTGGTCGTGCTATTCCAAACACGAAATAGCCCTCTCCAACACTTCCTGTCTCCCTTCCCTGCTCATTTGTTTCTGTTTCACTTGTTACCAAATGACACACTGTATATTTCCTGTGTTTCCATCTGTCTCTACCCACTAGAAGACAGGCTTCTGGAAGAAGATGTTGGTCTATTGTAGTCACTGATCAGTCCCCGAAGTCTACAACAGTTGTGACACCCAGCAGGGGCCTAGCAAATGCTTACTGAATGGGGAATGACTCCTCCCGCTTACTCTCTTATCCATACTCAGCAAGCAGGATGGCAGGCCAGGGTGATAGGGGATGGCCGAGGGGATGGCCTGCCCAACAGCAAGACCCCCTATGAACCACAACCCTTGGGGTACAGGCCAACATGGGAAGAAGGGCTATGCCATCTGTGCTAAGTTGTTTCATGGTAAGCCATCTCCTGGTAACCACAAGTAATAAGTGTTTTCATCTCCATTGTACTCAAGAGGAAACACTGGTGCTCAGAGAAGCTAAGTAACTTTCCCAAGTTCATAGAATTTAGGGGGCAGCAGAGCTGGATTTTCAAGAGTCTACCTGACTCCTTGCTTGCAGGAAGTAGAGCTGGGCTTTCGTGGTGTCTACCTCACTCCTTGCAGTTCTTATTCAATCAAAGCCTTATTGACCTGCCATGCCATGCCTGACCCTGCACTAGGTCCTGAGGAATGCAGCAGTGAACAAGGGGGGCAGGGGCCATATTCATTCATATGATGAATATTACAAAGAAGTGAAAATGAATGAACTAGAGACACCTGCAACATCCAGCAACATAATGCTGAATTTAAAAAGCAAATCTCAGTATACCGAATAAAGTTCAAAATCCACTAAAATGGAATATATTGTTTAGGCACACATAGACACGTGATAAAAACTATTTATTTGATTAAAAATTATTTTAAAGCAAGAGAATGACAAACATAAGATTACCTCTAGTGGGTAAGCAGGGATGAAAGAAATAAAATATATAAGAATTGAAAGGAATAAATAAAACTTATTATTCACAAGTGATAATCAGAAATCAAAAAGAATCTAAAAACAAACTAGACCATTAAAAAGTTAATTTGACAAGGTCAGTAGATATAACAGGAACACTCAAAACTCAATTATATACTTATCTACAATAAACAGTAAAGGGAATTTTTTAGATATCATTTATGGTAACATAGAATAACATCAAATACATACGGATAAATCTAACACAAGATATACAAGACCTCAACAAAGAAAATTGCTAGACAGGCTGGACATGGTGGCTCACACCTGTAATTCCAGCGCTTTGGGAGGCTAAGGTGGGTGGATCAGTTGAGGTCAGGAGTTTGAGACCAGCCTGGCCAACATGGTAAAACCCCGTCTTGACTAAAAATACAAAACTTAGCCAGGTGTGGTGGCGCACATCTGTGGTCCCAGCTACTTGGGAGGCTAAGGGAGGAGGACTGTTTGAACCTGGTAGGCAGAGGTTGCAGTGAGTAGAGATCACACCACTGCATTCCAGCCTGGGCAACAGAGCAAGACTCTGTCTCAAAAAAGAAAGAAGAAAGGAAAGAGAGAGAGAGAGAAAGAGAGGGGAAGGAAAGAAGGAAGGAAGGAAGGAGAAGGGAAGGGAAGGAAGGAAAGGAAGGAAGGGAAGGAAGGAAGGAAGGAAAGAAGGAAGGAAAGGGAAGGGAAGGGAAGGAAAGGAAGGAAAGGAAGGAAAGGAAGGAAAGGAAGGAAGGGAGGGATGAAGGAAAAGAAAATTGAGATAAATTAAGGAAGACCTAAATGAATTGAGAGATAAGCCATATTCATGGGTCAGAAGATTCCAAATGTGAATTTAGAAATTCCAAATTTATCTAGAAGCTGGAAGTTGCAAATTTTTCTTCCCAAATTTATCTAGAGATTCAGTGCAATCCAAATCAAAATCCCAGCAGGTTCTTTTTGTCTGTGGAAATTACCAAGCTGGTTCTAAAATTTATATTAAAATTCAAACAGCCAAGAATAGCCAGGGTGATCCTGAAGAATAAGGTAGATATCAAGACTTATTATAAAGCTACAGTAATTAATGTGAAACTGGCACAAAGATAAACAAATAGGCTAATGGAACAGAACAGAGAATCCAGAAATAGAGCCATTTATTTAATTGATTTATGGTAAAGGTGGCCCTTCAGAAAAGTGGGGGAAGGACAACGTGGTCAATAGAAGCTGCTGGCTCAATCGGATTTCTATACAATGTCGGAAAAAAGAAACTTGACACCTTCTGCACACCAAACATAAAAACCAAATCCAGAGAGCCTCCTCGTATTTAGATGGACTATACATCTAAATACTAAATGTAAAACAGCCAAGCTTCAAAAATAAGCTTGTAAAAGAAAATTGTATAGGAGACTATTTTCACAATTTGAGATAAATTCACAAAGATTTCTTAAACAGGACTCAGAAGCACTAACCATAAAAGTAAAGATGAATAAACTAGATTATTTTGAAATGGAGAGTTTCTACTCATCAAAAGACATCATTAAGAGAGAAAAAGGGCAAGCCACATCTAACTAACAAAGGGCTTGGATCTAGAATACATGAAGATCTTCTACACGAAAAAAGGCAAACAACTCAATTAAAAAAAACTTCCCCAGACACAGTGGCACATGCCTGTAATCCCAGCATTTTGGGAGGATGAGGCAGGAGGATCACTTGAGCCCAGGAGTTCAAGACCAATCTGGTCAACATGATGAAACTCCATTGCTACAAAAAAACAAAAAATTAGCCAGGCATGGTGGTATGTGCACCTGTGGTCCCAGCTACTCAAGAGGCTGAGATGGGAGGATCGCTTGAGCCTAGGAGGTGGAGGCTGCAGTGAGCCGTGATTGCGCCACTGCATTCCAGCCTGAGCAACAAAGTGAAACCCTGTCTCAAAAAAAAATAAAAATTAAAAAAAAGACTTGAATAGGCACTTTACAAAAGAGAATATTCAAATGGTCAAAAAATATATGAAATGATGCTCAACATCATTAATCGCCAGAAAAATGTAAATTCAAACCACACTAAGACACCAACACACACCCACCAGAATGGCTAAAATTTAAAAGACAAGCAACATCGTATGTTAGATGGGGAGCAATGGGAACTCTGCTACTCTGCCAGCGGGAGTGCTAAAATGGTGCAGCCACTTTGGAAAGCTGTTTAGCATTATATACTAAAAATGAACATGGTCACATCCTATAGCTCAGCAGTTTAATTCCTACATATATACCCAATAGAAGTACACGTATATGCACATCCTAAGACATGTATACATATATTCATCATAATGTAAATATGGTCAAAAACTGGAAACAACACAAATGCTCGACAGCAGTGGAAAAGATGAGTAAACTGTAATACCATACATCAGTGAAAATGAATAAGCCATAGCTGCACAGCATGAACAGATTTCAGAAACATAATGTTGAGTGAAAAAAATCGGACACGAGAGAGTATGTACTGTAAGATCCCAGCCATATCGAGTTCAAAAACAAGCAAAACAAATCTGTGGTACCAGAAGTCAGGCCTGTGGTTACCTTGAAGAAGGAGGCAGGGAGGAGAGATGGGGAAGGCCATGAGTGGGGCTCTTCCGGGAATAGTAATTACGTAAATACTGGGTCCACAGTTACATTCACCTTGTGATATTCATCGAATTACATACTTACGATTTGTGTACTTTTCTATATACAGTTGACTCTTGAACAAGATGGTTTTGAACTGCACGGATCTACTTATTCATGGATTTTTTTTCAATAAATATATTAGAAATTTTTGGAGATTTGCAACAATTTGAAAAAATTCACAGACGAACTGCATAGCCTAGAAATATCACAAAATTAAGAAAAAGGCATGACTTAAATGCATAAAATGTATGTAGATACTAGTCTATTTTATCACTTACTACCATAAAATATATACGAATTATAAAAAGTTTAAATGTATCCAAATCTGTGCACACAGTTACAAACTGTACATGGCACCATTTGCCGTTCACAGAAACTGAAAGATGCAGTATTAAATCATAGCTGCAGAAAATTAACTATATGTTCTGTACGACTGCAGCTATGTCATAGCCACCTCCTGTTGCTATTGGGTGAGCTCAAGTGTTGTGAGTATCTGTGAGGTGCTCATCATCTCCGTGTGAGCAGTTCACCTCTCCAGTATATTGCGCACCACAGTAAAAAGTCATCTTTCAAGGTTCTCACATATTTTTTATCGTGTTTAGTGCAATACTGTAAACTTTGAATAACACCATAGGACCCATATGAACTGCCACTGGTGATGCTGGAAGTGCTCCCAAGAAGCAGAGAAAAGTCATGACATGACAAGAAAAAGCTGACTTGCTTGATATGTACCATAGATTGAGGTCTCCGGTTGTGGTTGTCATTTCAGACGGTTCATCTTGCAAACAGATGATGTAAACTTACAGTATTGATAAATACAATACAGTTCTATAAACATATTTCTCTTATGACTTTCTTAATAACAATTTCTTTTCTCAAGCTTACTTTATTGTAAGAACACAGGATGTAATCCATATAACATATAAAATATGTGTTAATCGACTGTTTATGTTATCCGTAAGGCTTCTGATCAACAGTAGGTCATTAGCAGTTAAGTTTTTGGACAGTCAAAAGTTATATGCAGATTTTTGACTATACCGGGGCTCTCAGCACCCCAACCCCTGTGCTGTTCAAGGGTCAACTGTGTAAGATTTACTTCAACAACAAGTAAAATCAACATAGAATCACAGAAACAAAATTGAGTAAAGTGATCACCTCCAGATGGGCAGCAGGGAGACAAGATAGGGGCAGTACATGCATAAATGTATTTTGTTAGTGTTCAAGTCACAGTTTGGGTGGTTAATTATATTGAAACAGGGGTGGGGGTGATAATCCAGACGGAGAAATAGATAGGTGGGCTCATTAATGGACCAAAGGCAGTGACACAAACCAGTAACTGTGCTTGATCCAACTCTATGCATTCAAGGTTAAAAACATAAATCCATAAAAAAGACCACACTTGGCCGGGCGAGGTGGCTCACACCTGTAATCAAAGCACTTTGGGAGGCTGAGGCAGGTGGATCACCTGAAGTCAGGAGTTCAAGACCAGCCTGGCCAACATGGCGAAACCACGTCTCTACTAAAAACACAAAAATTAGACAGGCGTGGTGGCACACGCCTCTAGTCTCAGCTACATGGGAAGCTAAGGCAGGAGAATTGCTTGAACCTGGGAGGATGAGGTTGCAGTGAGCCAAGATCACGCCATTGCACTCCAACCTGGGCAACAGAGTGAGACTTCATCTCAAAAAAAAAAAAAAAAAAGACCACACTTTAGGAAAGGCTTGGTAGGGTCATGAGGCGAGTAGGGGATGCACTGCTCTGTCAAAGCTAGAATAAAATAGATATTCCTTTCTTATTTCAGCATGGGGAACAAAGGCAGGTCTCCGGTAATTACAGACTAAAGAGATGGCGGAAGGAACGAATAGGTGAATCAGGACGCTCCCCCAGTCCTGGGATCTCACCCCGTCTGCCCACTGCAATTCTCTCCTCAGGCTTACACCTAGTTTTGGCTGGCACTGGCCTAATTAGTGCAGCCTCTAATAAAACCTCCTCACCATCCTCTCTCAGGCATCGAACACTGGCCCAGGGAGCCCTGGATGTTGGGCCAAATGAGTTAACAATTTCCTTCTAGCCCTGTGGCGTTTCTAAAATGCTAGTCCATTTTTTTCACAGTCTGAGAGGCCAGAGTCTGAGCCGTTTAACAGTCCAGTTCTGGCCTAGATCTGTCACCACGACAGTAAAAAATAAAAATTAAAAAAAGTTTAAGTGCATCGTATGCTTATAATAAATAGTTTGCACAAAATTATTCATTCCACATATGGGCAGAGCGATGCCTTTCATGTGCACATTGTTTGTGGAGAGCCCGTAACTGGAGTTGTTACTGGGCAGAATGTGGAAGTCGTTTTCTACTATTAAGTAAGGGAAACAAGGTTCGCATTTTAAAATTAATTCAATGAAAACTATTAAGCAGTTGGCCGTGAATGCCTTGCTATTTTTTCCAAACTGATACTAATAAGGGCTCCTACTGCCAGCCCTGCCTAAACAAAAACACAAGAGTAACCACAAAATTTCCAAGAACATTTTCCCAGTGTTCTTCTGAAACACAAACCAGTGCAGATCCCACAAAACTTGAGACCCAAATCCCTGTGACAGTACCTTCAGGTGGGTCTGGGGGGGCGACTGCCTCTTGGGTGCCAAGGGGCTGGTGAGTGGATCACTGTCATCCTTTTGTTCAATAATCAGCTGAGGCCAGGCACAGTGGCCTCACATCTGTAATTCCAGCACTCTGGGAGGTGAAGGCAGGAGGACTGTTTGAGGCCAAGAGTTTGAGACCAGCCTGGGCAACATAGTGACACCCTGTCTCTACAAAAAATAAAAATTAGCTGGGCATGGTGGCACACACCTGTAGTCCTAGCTACTCAGGGGGCTGAGGTGGAAGGATCGCTTGAGCCCAGGAGCTTGAGGCTGCAGTGAGCCATGTTCGTGCCACTGCACTCCAGACTGGGCAACAGACGAAGATCTTGTCTCAAAAAAAAAAAAAAAAAAGCAATTGACAAGCGGGGCACCCCAAGGCCTGGGCTCTACCTGAGTATTGAGGGGTGGAAGGCACTCAGGGTGAATGAGACAAATGCACGTCCTCAAGGCCTCTCCAGAGTTATGCAGGCAGCAAGTACTAAGCATTGACAGTACACCCACTGTGGGACAGCTGGCGGAGGCAGAAGACTACAGGATTCAGAGTCCGAAAGACCAGGGTTTAAATCTCAGATATGCACTTCCTAGCTCAGTGTCTTCATCTGTAAAACGGGCTGTTCTGTGAATTCTGTGTGTCCCTGTATGTAATGAGCCTCTCACATGCTTAGCACACAGCAGATGATCATCAAAGGTTGGGCCCCTTTCTTCCCTTCTGTGCCAGCTCTGTGCTGAGGATGTGGAGATGAGTTGGCCGCGGCTCTCAGTGGAAAACCAGCTTGCTAGAGTAGGAGGTACAGCCTTCTATGGGAGCTCAGTGGGGGAAGGAGGCTTAGATCTCAGGCCCAGGGGTGAGTCCTCCACCTGCCATACCTGAAGGCATGCCCTCATCTGCTGGCCACTCCAGACACTGCTGACCAGAAAAGAGGGTGGGATGAGATGGTGGCCAGGGGATCTCTGGAAGCCCCAAACCATTCTGGGATGAACAGTTTATATGTCCATGTCCCTGGGCCCTATGACCATGAGCCCCTGGAGGGCAGGGATAGTGTCTGACTCATCTGAGTCCTCAGTGCCCAGCCAGGCTGGGAGCAGACCACAACTCAGTGAAGGTTAGTTGATAAACGAATGAGTCCTCAATGATCTCTTCCATGTGTTTCCCGAGGCTCCTCGGTCCCTGTGCAACACAAGCCTCCTCAGTCACCCTCCTAAAACCAAGATCCAAGGTGACATAGAGGACCTGGACCCTGGGGCCAGTCCTAGGATGACATGAGGACCAGCTAAGGCCCCTAAAAATGAGGCAGGGGGCATGACAACTTCAGCCCCACCCTGGCCATGTGGTCCTGGGAAAGCCATTGAACATCTCACTGAGCTTCCATTTCCTCATCTGCAAGTGGGGATGATGAGAAAGCAACTCCTGCCCAGGGCGGCCAAGAAGATCAGCTGAGAAAACAGAAGAGAATGAGGCTTGCTGCACACACAGGAGGCTCAGCGCTTCCTTCTGATGTCTGTCTCTCAACACATTCTGATGGTGCATCTCCTGTGGGCAGGCCCTGTGGGCCCAAAGAGACAAACCCAGGCTGGAGGTCGGACTGGGTAAGTGCAGAGGTCCTGAGCACCATCAAGCCTGAACGAAGCAAAGGAGAAAGAAAAAGTGGCTGGGGATATTGCTTGGCACTGATGGGAGCTTAGCAAATGCTAGACTGGTAAAGAAGCAGATGGATGGACATATAGATGGGGACAAACGAATGAATGAAGACAAATCTCAAGGTTTTGGTTCCTCCTCTTCCCATGGTTTGGTGTGCCTTGTCCCCAAGAGACTCAGGCCCACAGTCCTCTCAGGGCCCCCAGTGGAAGTACCTATCCACAACATGCATCACAGCCCGGCGACCCCTGCCCAAGTCTCCATCCTCTCCACTCGCTGTCTATTTCTCTCTGTCTGCGTTCCTCTGTTCTGTCTCGTGGTCTCTTTCTGCAAGTCTCTAACGTTCTCTAGCTCATTCTGTTTTTCTCTGCAGGTGGGTATCTTTACCCAGATCTCCTCTTGGCCTCTACCTCTTCTTTCTTTCCTTCCCTCCTCCCCCTCACCCCACTGCCTGTCTTCCTGATCGCCATGTGAATTCCTTCTTCCTGCGGCACAGGTGTGCCTGCAGATGTTTTATCCAGGGAGACACTGCTGGTAAGCAGTGAGAGGATCAGGGTGAGACAGACATCCCTGCTGAAAGGGGGTGTGGCCTGAGGTCAGCTGTGACCCCAGTCACTGGCCCTCCACCATCCCCGCCCTCCCCATGCATCTCCTGATCCCTGGCCCTCCTCTGGCCCCCACCCTACAGGCTGCCAGCAGTGGGTGAGGAGGAAGAAGTGCTCCCGAAGGAGAAGTATCCACCTGGACCAGACCCTAAGGAACAGGGTGCCACAGGACCGGCAGGTTAGTTTTCACTAAGGGGTTCCCAGTCAAAGCACTGCCATCCCCCACCATGGGGCAGACACAGGAGGCTGTGAGAGGGGCAGTGCCAAATTCCACCTAGCTTGGGACTGAGACCAGTACACACAAGACCTCAGCATACCAGCAATGCTGATCACCTGCACAGTTGAGCCTGGCACTTCACAATTTCCCAGATCCTGACACATCCACCCTTCCCTTCAACAAATACTTATTGAGCACTCCTCTGTGCCAGGCACGGTTCTAGGTACTTGGGACAGAGCAGCGAACGAGATCAACAAGATCATGTGGAACTACTATTCCACACTATCTCTACTATTCGTGTGGAGAGCAAGCAACCTGCGAAGTCAGAACACAGAGGCCAGGGGGATGGAGGAGCCATAGGCGGTGAGAGGAGCAGGTCGGGGGCCGGAACAGCCCCAGCTCTGAACACATTAAATCTGGGGTGCCGCCTGGGTGTCCACATGGAGACACAGGGATGGCAGGCAGACAGGCAAGTCTGAGTTCCGGGGAAGATCCAGATGGGCATAGAAATTTGGGAGTCATCAACAAATGGGCGTTCTTCAAAGCCACGGCCTGGATGAGATTGAGAGAAAGAAAGGTCAGTGAGATGGTGGGGAACCAGAACGGGGACTGGGAAGAAGCGGAGGGGGAAACTCGGAGAGCGCAGTGTCTGGAGAACAAAGTGATGAGACACATCAGGGAGGAGGGAGCGAGCCCTGGCAAATGCACTGAGGGTCCCAGGACTGAGGCGACTGCAGCCCGGCCAGCCCTCCAGCGATCCTCCTAGGAGCAGCGTCGTGCCGCTACAGATGTGAACGCCCAGCAAGCCAGGGCTCCGAGAAAAATGGAGAGAGAGAAATGGGACCAAAAGTACAGCTAACTCTTTCCAAGAGTTTTGCTCAAAAGGAAAGGAAAGGAACGAAGGCAGTCTCTGAAGAGGGAAGTGGGTTGAGAGGTTTGTTTTGGTTTGTAAAATGGTAGAAACATCAGCTTGCTTACATGGGGATGGGGATGACTCAACAGAAAGGAAATGCTGATGATGAGGAGCTATGTCTTGGAGCAGGTGACGGGGCCTAGTGCACAGGGCCAGTGTGACGCTCACACACCCCAGAGGCTGGCCAGGCAGGAGGACCTGTCCTCATTTTTTAGGTGAGGAAACTGAGGCTGAAAATGGCTAACCTGTACCTTCAGATGTAGGAATGCCCAGGTGTTCCTTTCTCACCTGACACCTTACTTAAAAACCTCCTGTAACCCCCCAGAGGGTGAGGAATCTGCATTTTAACCCCTTCCCTAAATGTTTCTTATGCACACTGAGGTTTGATAATCACTGCTCTAGACGAGTTGTCTCCAACTTTTTTGATCTCATATCCCAATCTGGAGAAAATGTATTCATTGATAATTTAACTATGTATATATAACCAAATGCATTCTACCACATGCTAGTTATATGGCCTTGGGGTGCAAGGAAGTTCTCCGTGTCTCAGTTTCCTCATTTGTAAAAACCACATATCTCATACAGTCATTGTGAAGACCAAGTGAGTTACAAACATGTGCAGTGCTCAGAACAGTGCCTCACATGGAGGCTCATCACCATTATTATACCAAGAGTGAGATGCACCAGATAAGAATCGCATTCTAATATTTCTTCCCCCACCCCACAGACGTTCTGGGCACCCCCAGCTGAGCCATCGCTGCTCCACACAGTGAACTCGAGGATGAGAACCACATCTTTCTTATTCATCTTATTTCCCTTGCCTACATGGGGGTCTGGCACACAGCAGGCAGGCAATAACCTTGTGCTGGTTTACTTGTTACACCTGTTTATTTATCCACACTGCTTGGGCCCAACCTCAGGTTGAGGCACCACGAGCTGCATATCATCACTTAATCTTTCCAACAAGCACCAAGGTAGGGATCAATATTCCATTTTACAGCAAGAGACACTGAGGCTCTGGGAGTAAAGTGGTTTGTCTAAGATCCCAGATAGAATTAGAGCTTGGGCCCAAACCCAGGACACCAGATGCCTAGTCCCATGGCCAGTGGCCTCTCCCCATCACCAGGGGCTCAGCCCAGTATATACTGCTGGGATCTGGCCAACTGGGGAAGGGGGGTTGGCTCTCAGCTTCCTCATCCTCCTGCCCCCAGTGGAAGAGGAAAAGAGGAAGCACGGGGCAAAGGCTCACACACCTCATAATCAGCAGATGCACCTAGGGAAGCAGAGCCCCAAACAGGGAGGGAGGCAGAAGGGGAGTTGCGGCTCACAGGCACACCACCCCATTCCACTCCACCCCAGAGGGGAGTGCCCCATCCTAAGGTGAAACCCTCGCCTCTCATCAGGAGTCTGCATCTTCTCCTCACCTGAGACCTCCTCCTGGCCAAGCTGCAGATCAGCCGGGGAGGCTGCATTAACGGCTTTCTGAAATGTCACCAAGAACAAAGCTCCCCTTTCTGCCAGCCTCTAGTATTTACAAGCAAGCACAAATCTGTGAGAAAATTCAATTGAACACAGATGGCAGGAAATTCCTCTAAAATGACAGTGGCCAAATTCAAACCACAAGACATGAAAATAACCCAACATACTAGACATGAAGAACACATCTTATAGACTTCTCCTCGTGCGATTTGCAATCTGTGATGGATTACCAGGAAGACAGACTGCAGATTTATTGGACTTCTGTAGAACACGGATTCCATTTGCAACAATTAAACCTTCCGTGGTTGAGAAAGGGGTCGGAGAGGGCCAGGGGGAGATGGTGAAGTTAAGGAATGTGTTGTGAGGCTGATAAAGGTGGGCGTTAGCACTGGCAGTACCGGAGGGCCAGTCCAGCCAAAGCCCAAGGTGCCACTAGGCTGCAGGCCCCACTGTGTGGCAGTCAGTTAGGGGCAGAGGCATGCCGCCAGGCTACCGCAGACAGGTACGTGCAAATCTGCTAGTCCTCTGGGTCTAAGCTAGACCAGAGCTGTGGCTGGATCCTCATAACTGCAGAGGTCCGGAGGGTGCAGGAGAGAGGAACACAATCAATGAGCTGAGGGACAGCGATATCACAGTCCCCACACCTTTGACAAAGGAGACATCACTCATAGACAGCAAGTGGCTGAAGCTGGGTCCCTGTTTGCCACCCCCGGGCTAATGCACCGGGGGCCTTTTAGTGTGTGCTGGTGGCTGGGCACAGCCATTAAACAGGTGTGCTTAAACTCTTAATGAGCTCAACATATGCTAATAAGCTAGAGGCTCAGGTGTATGTAATGGGTCAGTGGTTGAGGGGTATGCTAATAGGTCAGAGACTCAAATCCATGCCACAGAGCTTTCTTTACCAAGTGGCTGGCACCCAGCACCTGTATATTCCACCACCCAAGTCTTCAGAGGACTCAGATCTCCAAGGGAGATGGGTAAGAGGGATTAAGATGACCACAGATTTGACACTATTCCCATTAAGAGGTTGGTCTGTTCCCCCGCCCCTTGGGTCTGGTGTGGCCTGTGACTGCTTTGGCGGATGGAGCAGAATGTGGAAGGAGCACTGTGCCTGTTATGAGCCTGCCTTTATAAGGACTGGCAGCTTCCCTCTTGGTTTCCTGGAGCCCTGAGCTACCACGTGAGAAGCCTGATGCCCCTGCCGGACGCATCCACAAGGCTATGTGGAGGGGGAGAGGACCGGGTCCAGCCCAGCCTTCAGTTGCCCCCACCCATGCACCATCCTAAGAGCTGTGTGTCTTGCCCCTCCAACCAGAGAGCCATCAGCTGACTGCCACCAAAGGGACCCCAGTTGATTGCAAGAGGAACACAAGGGTCACCAGGAAGAGCCTGACAGCAAATTCCTGACTCAAAAAATTGTGAGATCTGGTGAAATGTTGGGTGATTGAAACCACTCAGTTTTGGGCTAGGCTGTTAAGCAGATCATCCACCCTTGCCCCTTCTCTGCACCCTCTCTGTTCTCTCCCTTTCAGCCTCATCCTCTCAGCCTGGGCTCTCAACTTCCTGTCTGGTCCCCTACTAGCCACATTCCACCTGGTCTCCAGCAACCTTGCTGGTGCTCAAAGCCCTGTGGGGTCTTGATCACCCCTCCAGCCACCGCACCCACCACTCCCCTATCCACCCCTATGCTCACCATTCCCCAGATGGAGCACACTCTTCAGAGGCCCCCATGCTGTTGTACATGCTGTTCCCTCTGCCTAATTCACTGCTCCCTGGCATCTGCTCAGCCAACTCCTATGCATCCTTCAGGGCCCAGCTAAAATCCAGGGCATTTATTGGCTCTCTCCTATGGACCCTTTTAGCCTTCACCATCCTATATTGCTACTATACACCTGATCTTTATTATACACTAGTCTGGGAAGCAGCTTGAGGAAGGGACAGAGGCTCCTGATTTGTCTGCCCTGTGCTAACACAGTACCTGGCACAAAGTTCAACAGGGTTTTATTGAATACGTTAATGAAATAACAAATGCATGACGCCAGAAGTTCAGTGCAGATCCTGGCCCTAAGCAGTCTACAGGAAAGGAAAACATGAAAAGCTGAATTCCAACAAAGAATTCTGTCAGGCAACACAGCAGTCATTATGGGCTCAAGGTCAGGGAAGAGAAAGGCTACTGGGGCCTGGAAAGTCAGGGAGGACTTCCTGGTGGAGGAAGCCCATGCTGATGTCAGAGTCTCCTCTTCCAGTAGCACCTCAGGTGGGTCCTCTGGGCCGAAGCTGCCCCTTGCACTCCCACTAGCCTGACTGCACTGGTGCTGCTCACATGCCTGGCTCCCTGTCAGCCACTCACTGCTGCATCCATGGTGCACAGCAGGAGGTAGGGGTGTAGAGGACAAGGGTCAGCTTGTCCTCTACGGTGGCATCATAACTGGCCTACCTGTCTCTCCCCCAATACAGGGCCCCACCCAGAGTAGGCACAAAGAAGCTGGTTGTCAGGAAGAATGAGTGGGGAGGTGGGGGGCACAGCAGGCAGGAGGAAGGTCTGAGGGGCCCAAAGAATGCACCAAGGGGCCAAGGGGGTAGCAATGCCCTGGCCGCATGACCCCAGAGTCTCCCCTTCTATGAATGCGGATCGTGGCAGGGGCGATGCCGTAAGTACTTGGCACAGCAGCGTTTACTGATATCCAGGTACACCCATCTGGGCCTCAGAGGGTGCTGGGGAATAGCCCAGACCCTGAAGCCCTCTGAGTGCTCTGAGCCTGAAGAATGGCTCTGCAAGCAAGGAGGCCAGGAAGGGAAGGAAACATTTCCAAAGCTCCAGTCAAGAGCAGGCCTGGACTTGCTGTCACATTCCAGGAGGGAGCATGAGATGAGGGCAATTGGGAACAGGGTCCAGAGAAGCTCACGGGCACTCAGGTGGCTCGGCTCTGCAGGAGGAGAGCTTTCCAGCCCTGGGGTGAGCTGCCTAGAGAGGTAGTGAGATGCCCATCACTAGTTGTCCATTCAGCAACTGGGTAACCTCTTAGATTAGAGAATGTCAAGGCTGGAGGGTCTTTCAGTCTTCTTCATTGTATCCACAGGGAAACTGAGGCCCAGAGAAGCCAAAGGACTTCCTCAAGGTCACATGGTGAGTTGGTGACAGACCAAGACTGGCACCCAGGTCTCCCTGCTCCCAGTCAGGACACCACTCCACACAGGCCCTCCTCAGCAGACCCAGAGCCAATAATGTTTGTGAGGGGGCCACACCTGGACCCCACTCACTGATGCTGAATACTAATCCCCAAGGCTCTGCAGCACTGAGAAGGGGCTGAGCGCCTGGACCCACCCCCACCAGCGGTGCCACCCTGGGAAAGCTGTTCATCTACATTGAGCCTCAGTTTCCTCATCTGCAAAATAGAAATAGTAACAGATCCCACCTCAGTGGGTCTATGTGAGGATTAATGAGATGAAAGAGATAAGAGTAGTTAGAACATCCCATTGTGCTTCAAGGGCTCAATAAAGGTAGATGTTGACTTTTTCTTTTTAACTGTTTGAGGCACTGGAACAAAAAGGCCCCTGCCCTGCTCCCTCCTGGCTGGGTGGCCTTGGGTAAGGCTCTTTCCCTCTCGAGCCCCTTTGCTTCATCTAAAGTGAGCAATTTGGCTCCGTGGTCACAAAGGTCCCGGCCAGCTCAACAGTTCTTTGAGTCTACTCTGGGCTTTCCCAGACATTCTCCAGGTTGGGGAGCCACCTTGTTGGCAGCCCTTTTCCAGACACCTCAATGGGGGAACATCCGAAAAGCATCAGGGCCTTGCTTAGGGGAGGCTAGGCATCCACTGCCTCATTTCCATCTTGCAGACCCTTGCAAGATGAGCTCATTTCACCCCCACCTCCACCCATGCCTCCCTTGCCCCAGCCATCCTCCCTCTGCCACAAGGAAGGAGCTGCTTTCTGGGTGGAGTAAGGGGCATTTATTCATCCAGCACGTATTATGTGCCAGGCAGGGCATCAGGCCCTGAATGTCAGAGCAACTCAGAGATGAGGACAGCGTGCCCCATTTGCACCCAAGGAAGCTAGCTCCAAGACTGGCCCTGGGTCACACTAGTAAGTGACACAAGAGAAACTTGAGCCCACATTCTACACTCTACCCTAGAGCAGCTTTGTAGGGACCCTAAGCTGAAGAAGGGTAGAGGAGGACAGGACGTGGACTACAGTCCCCTTGAACCAGATCCCTGGCCTGGGGTGGAGAAAAGGGGAGAGTCAGGGTCAGCCTGACTGGGGCAGGGAGGAGGGAAAAGGCCAGCCCCTGGGGCAGCATACAGACATGGACCCTTGAGCCACAGCTCAGCCTAGACCTTCTCCCTCTCAGCTTGCTATCTGGCTGGATGGGGGCTCTCCTGGTGCTCAGGTTTATGGGAGTGTGTACCTTCAGGGCTCAGCAGGGAGGAGAGACTACAAAGAGAGCAGGGAGTCACTGCAAATCGAAGTGTAGCCCACCAGCCGAGCTGACTCTCCCAGCTGGGCAGGGTGGACCACAGTCAGCAGCCAAGACAGGATTCACCACAGGGGGAGGTGGCCATGCAGGATGGGATGTGTGCTGGCAGACCCATGTTGGAATCATCCACCACCCGTCCACTGAGTGGCCTTGGGCAGTGTCCCCTTAACAAGGTTGGAGGACTGAGCAAGATAGACACATATACACATCCATGTATGTATGTCTCAGCACTGCCTGGCTCATAGGACACAATCAGGAGAAGGTGCAAAGTGAGAAATGCTAATGCTTCTTGGGAATGAGGTCCACAGGTGGGGGTCCCTGCCTGTTGGGAGGACAGGTAAGCAAACGGTTAGTGACAGAAAAGGCCCTCACCCAGTCGAGACAGTCAGGGAAGGCTTCTTGGAGGAGGGGGCACTTGAGCTGGGCAGTGGGGATGAGGTACAGGGAGACTAAGGTAAATAGCACATCCAGGATAGAAGGCAGAGGAGGAGTTAAGAGGCAGGCTGGGCCCATCACACGGCTTATTTGCCTAG
The DNA here is from genome assembly GCF_000001405.40 of Homo sapiens. Lineage (NCBI taxonomy): Eukaryota > Metazoa > Chordata > Mammalia > Primates > Hominidae > Homo > Homo sapiens. The sequence goes on from NC_000001.11 coordinate 53,661,398, forward strand.
TGATGCATTTGGGCTTTGTCCTGGAACAAGATTTTCAAAAAGCCTAATTGGTTTTTATTAGAAACAATCCCCCAACATCGAAAACTCCCCAAATGCCTGGTCTTCTAGACTTCCCTAGACCACTCCAGAGGCCCACACAGTTGGAAATCTCTTAAAGGGGAGGCGTGGGGAGGACGTGATAGAGTTTCTGGGCTGCTGAAGGACCCTGAAGGCCTGATTCGAGGAGGCCTAGAAAGGCGCTGACTCCTTAAGGTCAAGCAGGACCCAGGCCTCCAGCAGCCACCCGAGACTCCTCCTCCCCACGGCTCCCTGTGGGACCTCTATGCTGCCCCTCTCTGGGGTGGCCCCAGGATGTGCCTACCGCACGGCAAGTAGCAGGGATGGTGGGACAGACACAACACTACAGATCAGGACTGGGGACAGGGAGGTTGGCTACCACCAGATGAGAACTCAGTGAAGAGTCATTCAACCCAGGACTGCCAACAGGGAAGATAAACTTCCTGTCCTGAGGTCTCCGCTGGGCTGTGTCTCCAAACAAGAGCTAGGACCAGTGCAGGGAGGGATGGAGGGCCATAGATTGGGGCTGGGGTGACAGACCTCTGCTCAACACAGGGAGGGAGTGAGCTTCCTATCCCCAGAGGTATGTAATCAAGGGGCTGAACTGCTGCTACAGAAGGGAGGCCTGCCCCCTGCGAAAAGGCTTAACGGAAAACAAAGCCCTCTTAAGTCCAGGCCTCACAAGCTGGAAGACCCCAGGCAAGTTGGTGGCATTCTTGGGGCCTCAGACGTTCATCTGTCGCAGGGGATGTTCTTCCCTGGTTGATGTGCCGTGTGAGGAGCCACAGCGAGGACACTCGGCAAAGCACTATAAAAACATGCAGCATTATCATCATCATTCGAAACAGGCTTTCTGAAGAGTGGGCCCCCGCAGGACCCAAGAGAAATGCATCCCTTGCCGTCTATTGAAACCATGTGTTCCCAATGAGGTAATGGATGGGAACGCACTTTGTAAAATGTAAATCCCAGCACAAATGGTAGTTGTTATCATTGCCATTATCATGATGATGATGGCGGCAAGGATGATGATGATGAGGGCTGTTCTCCCATCTCCTGCTGTGGGGACCCCAAGTGGCCAAAAATAATCAAGCGTGGATCCTGAGGGCAAACCCATCACATGTGGGCCGTCAGCCTCCTGGTTTGGAGGCAGCTACAGGGGGCAGTTTCTAACAGGCTTAGCCAACTCCATAAGGGCTGCCACATTGCCATTGTAATCAGGTGCCCCAGATCCAGCCAGGCTGAGCTAATTATCCCTCCCACCCTCACCTCCAAACCTATGCCTCCTTCCCCACCTCTAATCAGAGCATCGTCCTCTGCCTTACTCCCCCATCCAACCAGTCACCCATAATAGTGACAACTAATGCTTACTGAGCACCAATGTGGGCTGAGACTGTTCTAAGTCCTTTACAGAGACCATCTCCCCGGCGCTATAAAGCAAACACTGTACACCCCCATTTTATAGATGGGGAAGCTGATGCACAGAAAAGGTAACTGCCCAAGGTCACACAGCTGATAAGCACTGGAGCCAGGATCTGAACTCATAGATTCACTGGCAATCCAGAGCCCATGAATGGCCTCTTCCATCACCCAAGCATCTGTCGCAGCTCTCCCACTGAGCTCCATGGCCACTCCCAAGTGTCTGTCACAGCTCTCCCACTAGCTCCATGACCACTGCCACCACCCTAGTCCAGACCCCCAGCACCTCCCATCTCAGCCTGTGTGGCCCCAGCCCCATCTGCACACTTGGCCTGCCTCCCACAGCCAGGTGAATAACTCAGGGCTTGGATCTTCTTGTTCTTTTCTAGGTTTCTAAATTCCGGTACAGGGCTGGGCCCACAGCAGGCAGGCATCAGTGAGTTCTGATTACACGGAAGTGAACCAAACCCATATCAGAGGCCTGGGGGCTGCCAAGGCTGAGGAGGGGCCACAGACGGCAAGCGAACGGCTCCTGGGTGCCAGGGGCCATGCTGAGCACTTTCCGTGAGTTATCTCATTTCATCCAAAGACCACTCCAGGCACAACTGTGCCGCTGGACAGATACAGAGGCCCCTTCACCCCACCAGCTGGGGCACCCTCCTCTAGAATCCAGAGGGGAGAACCCCAAGCTGGGCTCCGTGACCCTGCCTCATTGCCCTTCACGGCTGTGTGCCACAGCTCCCTCACCTGTCCTGTGGAGTGAGCCATCCCTTTCTGGAAGGGTGGTTGGGGCAGTTGGAGGAGCAAACACTGGTGAGTCGCTGGCCAACTCTGGCACTTCACTGGAGCCCGGGGAACACTGGCTGCCTAAGCTCCATGGAGGTCTCTCTCGGGGTCAGGACAAAACGTTCCAAGGCTGAGCCACGGCTCCCTCCAGGCCAGCGGCGGGGCAGCCCCAGGCAATAGCCTTTACAAGGAGCCAGGATTTATGGGATTTATGGCTCACATCCTCAGAAAAGGCTCCTCTGATGTGGCTCCAGGCGCCTCGAGGGAACCGGGAAAGACTAGCCGGGGGGCTCTATCCCAAGCCACCCCTCCCTTCTCACTGACTCCCCTCCTGACTGCTCTTGCCCAAATGATCTGGAAGGTGGCAGAGAATCCAACTCAGAAAATGAGGGCAACCCAGAACCCACTCTGCAGGGAGTCTGGCCCTAGCCAGCTAGAATCGAAAATAACCCTGACAGGATCCATGCGGTGCCCACTTCCAGGGGAAAGCCTGGCACATCAGAGATTCTGGTGTGCCCCCACCCCAAACCCCACACCAGCAGAGACCAAGTCACTCCCTCTACCATGGTGAGTATTAATCCCACACTGCACCTGCTGGCCCCTAGCCTAGAGCATCCTGCCTCCCACACACCCCCTCCAGGAAGCCCTACCGGATGCTTCCTACACCAGAGGCAGAGTCAGAGTACGATGTACTGCTGATTATTGTCCAGCACCTGCTATATGGCAATGCTCATTAAATATTTATCAAATGGACATATGAATTCTCTGAATTTGTATTGTTTGCAAAGAGCACTTGCCTCCAATGTCATCATCACATGCAGACAACCATAACAATGGAAAAGTATTTAGCATTCAATATGGGCAAAGTTCTAAGTAGTTTTCATTTAAGGCACAGTTACTCAGCTTCTACTATGTGCCAGGCACCATTCTAGGCCCTGGGGATAGAGAGCAGTGAGCAAACAGAAACCCCTGCCCTCACAGAGCTGACACTTTAGTAACATAAACAGCAAACAAACGAATAGTTGCACCCATCAGTTGGTGGTATGTGCAGTGGAGAAAAACAAAGCAGGCAAGGAAGCTGGGGCCTGGGGGTGGGGTGCAATTTAAAGCAAGTTGGTCAGGGAAGACTCCAAGAGGCTGGTGGCTGAGCGAAGACCTGAAGGAGCGAGGGAGCATGCCAGGAGGTTTTCTTGGGGGACAGTATTCCAGGCAAAGGGACCAAAAAGTGCAAAGGCCCTGGGGCAAGAGCACAGATGGTGTGTGAGGGTGAGCAAGGAGGCCTCTGTGGCAGGAGGAGGGGGAGGGCAGTACAAAATGAGGCCAGAGTGAGCAATGGGGCGAGGGGGGCACTGCTGCCATTGTAAGTAAGGACTGTGGCTTTCAATTTTGTGAGATCGCAGCCACTGGAGGGTTCCGAGAGAGCCTATATAGCAGGGAGGCCAGACAGGAGGCAGCACTGCCATAATCCAAGCAAGAATGGTGCTAGCTTGGGCCAGGATGATAGCAGGGAAATGACAAAAATGGGTCAGATTTGGCCTGTGTTGTCAGGAAAGAGCAAGATTTGGGGCTGCTTTAGATGCATAGGGGAGAGAAGAGACAAGGGGACTCCAAAGCTTCTGGCCTGGGCAACTAGTAGGAACATGGGGAAGACTGGGGGAGGTATATGTTGGGGATGCCAGGGGTTCATTTTGGATGTGTTAAGTTGGAGATCTTTTAGACATCCAACTGAAAAGAGAAGCAGTGTAAAGTACGGAGGTGAGGTCCAAAATGGAAGTATCAATTTTGGATCTACCACATGATATCCAAAGACATCAGTGTAGATGAGATCAAGACAGCAAGTCTAACAGCTAGGTGCAGTGGCTCACACCTGTAATCCCAGCTACTCAGGAGGCTGAGGGAGGAGGATCGCTTGAGCCCAGGTGTTCGATGCTGCAGTGAGCTATGATCATGCCACTGCACTCCAGCCTGGGCAGCATAGCTAGACCCTGTCTCTTTAAATAAAGAGCTTGAATAGACAGATACAAACCCTGGGGCATGGGTACTTATAGACGAAGAATCAGCAGAAGTGAGTGAGAAGCAGCTATCAAGGAGGTAGGAGAACCAAGAGGTGACCTTCAAGCAAACAAAGTATTTTAAGGAGGGAGTGAGTGTCTGTATCAGCTACTGCTGAAAGGTCAAATACAATGACGCCTAAGAACTGACCCTTGGATCCAGCAACATCGAACGCCCTGGGGACCTTAATTTTGGTGGCATGATGGGATGAGAGCCCAAGTGGAGTAGATTTAAAGGAGAACAGGGAAAGAGAAAATGGGTATTAACTCATTTAATCCTCATGACAATCCTATGAGGTCAGTACTGCTTTGCTCATAGTCACAAATTTAAAAAGTGGGAGGTAGGAAGCATCAAGGGCTAACCAGAATGCACGAGGTTACACAGCCAGGAAGTGGTGAAGCCAGGCTTTGAACCTGCACTAGCTGGCTCAAGGACCTCTGGTCTCAACACTATACTCTGCCATCCCTCACTGCTGAACATACAGTCACCTGTTAACTGAGCACCTGCTATGTGCCAGGGCTAGTGCTTCACAAACACGACCTGGACAGCAGCTATCTTTTCTCAATCAGATGCAGGTTGGTTATTTCCCTAACCTGCAGATAAGGAAAACTGGGCTCAGCTAGTAGGAGGTGAAATAAGCATTTGCTGGTCTGGCTGACTCTGATGCCTGTGCCTGTAACTGATAGCTTTCAGGATGGAATCCCAGGTCCCACTAGATTAGACACTTGCTTAGTCAGGGACCAGACCAATCACCCTAATTTAGAGTCCCCAAATTCCAGTGGCTGACAAAGAGCCCAGGTATCAGAAGCAGCTCTCAGGTCCCTTCAAGGTCTGGCTTGCCTCCTCTCTAATCTCATCTTCAACCCCACCTCCCATCCCCACTCTGCCCACTCTTGGGGATCCAAAGCCAGGCCTGGCAAATTTGAAGCCTGAGTTCTTTTCCCCAAAACCACCAGAAACACAGCAGAGAGAGGCAGTGAGCCCAGACAAGCCCCTGGATGGCAGAAATAATCCCATGCACCTCACACCCTCTACTCACCAAATCCCTTCCCATCGGCAGGTCTGTGGGCCAGGCTGGGGAGCCAGCAGGGCAGGGGTGATGAAGTCAAACTCTGCTGTGCTCCTAATGCCTCCTTTCTTAGTGATCTCACCCCTCCCTCCTCACAGGTTCAACCTGCCCTAGAACCAGGGACCAGCCTTCTTCCAAGATGACCCTGCAGCTGTTTCATCTTTGTCTTCAGAACATCATCTCCTTTCATGCCCATTCACTGTGCTGCTCATCCCTACACTACTTCATTCATTCATTCGTTACAAGGGAACCTCCTTCTCCTAGTGTCTTAATTTGAGGTTCAGTTTTTCTTGGTGAAAATGTTGATAATGTATACTTGCAGGGCTGTAATGAGAATAAAAGAGATTCGAAGGACTAAAAGCACTTTGGGAACTGCAAAGCACTGTGCACATGTGTGTGCCACTCCGGAGCTTCCCCTGCAAGGCCACTGGCACCTGCACGCCCACAACGGCACTTAGTTCACTCCAGGTGTATCAACCCAAAGCTCTCCTTCTCTCAATATGAGCTCCATGAGGGCCTCACATCCCACTCAAACCACTTCTCTTGCCCCTTGCTTTTGCGTGGCACACACTGGTTTCACAGTTCTTGAGGGAGACCTCATTATTCCCATGCTATGAAGAAACGGAGGCCTGCACCAGGGCAGTGCATCCCCAAGGTCACTCAGCCAGGGAGGAGTGGGGCTTCACCTATGGCTCAAGCTCCATCAACTCTAGCCCGGCCCTTCCTTGGTCCTGGTCTGGCCCCAAGGTCCATTCCCAACCTTGACACTGAGCGAGCTTCAAAACACCTTCTCATCTCTCTTTCAGACTCACAGGCTCTCACAGTTCATTTGTACTGCTACAATAAAACACCTAACACTGGGTAATTTATAAGGAACAGAATTTATTTTCACAGCATTTTGAAGGCTAAGAAGTCCAAGACCAAAGCATCAGCATCTGGTGAGGGCCTTCTTGCAGCGGAAAGCAAAAAGGGCAAGCTAGCTGAAAGGTGCATTAAGCCTCTTCTAAAAGGGCCTTAATCCCATGAATGAGTGCGTAGACCTCATGGCCTAATCACCTGTTAAAGGCCCCATCTCTTAATACTATTATATTGGCAACACCTGAATTTTGGAGAGGCCCCATTCAAACCATTGTACATGGCTTCAATAGTTCTCTACTGCCCTTGGGTAGCAATCCATTTCATTACCATTGCCCTCACAGCCCCACCTTATTTGGTCCCTCTGGCCTCTATGGCCTCATCTCGTTCCATTCTGCTCTCTGCCCTCAACAAACCTGCCTGCCCACCGCAGCATCTGCTCCATTGCACAGAGCAACAATAATCCACTCCTCCAATTAAACTCTTTTCAATTACACCTGGGTTTCTCAACCTCAGAACTGATATTTTAACAGCAGTAGACACTTCCTTGTTGTGGGATTCATCCTGTGCATTATATGATGCTTAGCAGCATCAAGAGTCACTACATACACATACACACATACACTCGTGCTCCACATAGTAACATTTCAGTTGATGACAGAACATATATAACATCAGTGGTCCCATGAGATTACAATCCTGTATTTTTACTCTACCTTTCCTATGTTTAGATAATTTTCTTTTTTTGAGACAGAGTCTCGCTCTGTCACCCAGGCTGCAGTGCAGTGGCATGATCTCAGCTCACTGCAACTGCTGCCCCCTGGGTTCAAGCAATTCTCCTGTCTCACCCTCCCATGTGGCTGAGACTATAGGTGCACGCCACCATGCCCGGCTAATTTTTGTATATTTAGTAGAGACAGGGTTTCACATATTGGTCAGGCTGGTCTCAAACTCCTGACCTCAGATAATCTGCCTGCCTCAGCCTCCCAAAGTGCTGGGATTACAGGTGTGAGCCACCATGCCCAGCCCTATGTTTAGATATGTTTTAGATACACAAATACTTACCATTGTGTTACAGCTGCTTACAGTATTGAGTACAGTACCATGCTGTATAGGTTTGTAGCCAAGGAGCAGCAGGCTATCCCATCTAGGCGTGCGTAAGTACACTCTGTGATATTCAGACAACAACAAAATCACCTACGACACGTCTCAGAACGTATCCACAACACTGGGCAATGCATGACTCTGTATGGTGAGGGTTGGGGGCTGAAAGATAGGATCAGGTCTGGGTTCCTTCTGTACCCCTCACTTTTAAGAGGAACACTACATTTTATTTTACAAGGTGCTTTCATACCCATTGTCCCCTTTGGCGCTCCTAACCCCCACATGAGTCACCAAACATTATAGATGAGGAAACTGAGGCACAGATGAGGCCTGGGCATTCTCCCAGACAATCTTCAGGTAAGCTGGGCCCTCCTAGCTCAGCGCTCCTGCAGACCTCTATCTGGGCCTCCACTCATGTGGTCCCCAACAGTCCCTGAACATGTCCTCTGTGCCTGGCCCTGGGCTCATCCTCCCCCCACCTAGAGGAGTTTCCAGGTGAGAGACCTGGACACGGAGATGTGCACTCAAGTGCCATGGGGGCTACAGTGGGGCACCCACAGGAAGGGGGTGGAGTGTGAGCAGAGCTCCATGTTGCCCACCCTGTGGGCCCATGAGCCCCCTATGTATATCACTACCAACACAGGGCCTGGATCCCAGCGTGTGGTCAGCGAGGGAGAAATGAAAGAAAGGGAGAAGGGAAGGGGAGGGGTAAGAGGGGGCAGAGAGAAGGGGAGATCTGTCAACCAGGTAAGGCTAGTGAAGACCAGATCTCCTGCATGTACCAAAGCTGGGTCAGACACTTCCTAGTCATTCATCACAAACACCCACTGAATATCCACTCTATGCCAGGCTAGGGACTGGAGGTCCTTCGGAGAACAAGCCAGACACATCCCAGCCCCTGTGGACCTTATAGGCTGCAGGATGTCTGGGCTCCATAGCCCCAGTGCTGCCTTTGATCCCAGCCCCTCCCATCACGTGCTAACTGCCTGCTATGTGCCTATCCCACATAGACTGGGACTCCCTGAAAGCAGAGGACAGGTCCAACCCTTTGCTGTGTCCCCGGCACCCAGCACAAGCCTGGCCCTGAATGGCCCATCTGTTGGCTGAACTGAAGAAATCATGCATCCAAGGATTCAGGCAGCAGAGGGTGGGGGAACTGCTTTAGAGAGGACTTCCTGACCAGGACAGCAGCTTGCAGCCCAGCCAAGGCCCAGCCAGCTTGTTTTGTCAGACAAGCAGTAAATACTTAAAGTGGGACAGACTCCGTGACAACACATGGAGATTACTGGTCTGGCTTTTTATCTGCTTTTATCAAATGATCCAAAGCATAAAACAAGAGTGGCTCAGCAGCCACAACCCAGGCCAGGATCCTATTTCTGGACTGGACCACTCTCTGGATTCAATATTAAACTAGCTCTGGCCAAGAATGGCTCAGCCAACAGGAATCTGAATGCTCCCCCAGCCCGAACCCACATCTCCATCAAGAGGAGGCAGCGTCCCAGAGTCACGAAGCACCTGGCCAAACAGAGACAGAACAATTCTGGCTGTGTGAGATTTTTAAAACCTTTTGGACTATAAATCTCCAAAAAGTGAGACTCCTCCCGACAGACCCCAATCTGATGCCCCGCTTTTCTAAGCCCTCTAACTTCTTAGCATGTCATCTTAGATGTCTACATTGTCTTACCAAGAAGACTGTTATTGATTCAAAGACAAGGATGGGTCTCATTCATTGCTTCCTGCTCCAGATCCCAGTACACAGGAGGTGCTTAATACAAATTTATAGTTTTCACAACTTAGCAGTTCTCTAAGAGGAAGACACCTTCCATCCAACCCCTAACACACCAGCCACATGAAATTCCAAAGGGATAAATGTTAAGTCCTGTGATAGGATTCAAATTGCTTCATGCTGGGTCTCCCTGAGTTCCCACAGCAAAGCTCCAGTGTCTATGTAAACTCCCAGTGGAGAACTAACCAGACTCTAGTCTAACATTTGTTCCCAAGTCAGCCTCCCTGACTGTGCCCTGCCTAAGGTGCCTTGTTCATCTCTGCTCTGCAGCACCCAGCACCTCACCTGACCCATGGGAGGAGCTTACTGGTTCTTTGTTAAATGAAGATGTTTATCACGTTACTATTTGCCATAGCGAATGAAAAGCAGGCAACAATCTAAACGTCCAGCACCAGAGGAAAGACTGTGTAATTATATCAGGGTGTGTGCAGGTAAAGAAATACTGTATGACCACTATTTTGAGAGGATGTGGCACACGAAGAAAAATTTTAAAGTAGAGTATGAAAGTATCATCCATGCCATGATTCAAACTATTTTTAAACCATGCATGTGGACAGAGGTCAGAAAGGAGCAGTGAGCAGAAGAAACTGGTGATGTTTTTGTGGGGGTAAATTTGTGTAACAATGCATCTCATTTTCAGTTACTGCTATAATGCTGTCAGTGAAGAAATTTTTAAAATAATTTACAGAAGAACAGGAAAGTGAAAACCTGTCTTAGTAGCAGGGGATATTTTTAAAGGATAGAGGATTTGAAGGATGGAGATGTTTAACATACGGAGTCAACAAATTGATGAGATCTCAAGCTCCATTTACCAGAAGAAAAATGTTCAGGTGAAAATACTCTCCTCCTGGGCCCAGAAAGGCCATGTCCACCAGGCTCGGCTCCTGGCACCACATTCTAAAAGGAGCTTGGGTACCTGTATTTGGAGAAGAGTGCCCAAGGCAGATGGCTGGGGTGTTGGCTCCTGGAAACGAGAGGCCCATGGCCCCCAGTGCCTGAGGCCTCACAGAGTAGAACCAGGATCAATGGGAGAAGTTATAAGGGCACAGATTTCACTAAATATAAGAACGGTCTTTGAAAGTAGTAAGCTCCCCATCACTAGAGGTATTCAGGGACAGACTGGAAGCCCTCCATTAGGAATATTTTAGGGAGAGGCACATGAATTTCATGAATGGTATGGAAAATGGAACATTTATTTATTAAGTACCTATATACATTAGAATGCACTTTATATGTTATTTCATTAAATCTTCATAGATTTTTACAGATGAGGAAATTCAGGCTTAGGAAGGTGAAATGGTTTGCTTAAGTTCACAAAGCTGGTTAAGGCCAAGCAGGGATTCAAACCCAGATCTACCCAACTCCAAAGCTCCTTCCCCTCCTTCTCAACTTTTAAAATATTATATTTATTAACAAGAATTGACTGGAATCTTCATTCCCACTTCCTCCTACTGTAGGATGAGGAAATTCTCAGCTTTTCCCTCTGTGAGCTATAGCCTGGGATACACAGCAGGCCCTGGCCAAGCTGGTTGTGGCCAACTGCAGGGTAGGAGGGCCAAGGCCAACTGAGTCAAGGCCTGCCTCCAAGCAGCCCTGAACCCATCCCACCCAGCCATTCTTCCGATCCAGGTGCCAAAATGGACCAGAAGCCCAGGGTATATCCTAAGCCTTCCAGGGCTCCTGATGGGGCCTGAGAGTAGAGTTAGGAAGCAGTGCAGGGCAGTGGGCAGAACATTAGATGAGGAATCCAGAGGTCTGGCCTCCATCACCTTGGGCAAGTCAGTCCACCTCCACAAGCCCCGCCTTCCTTTGTACGAAATGGAACCATTCTACCCACCTGACTCAACTCAGAGCTGTATGGAGTTCCTCCGGGAATACTTTCTTACCTTCCTATCTGTTAACTCCTACACATCCTTCAAGGCCCAGCCCCAAGATCACCTACTCTGTGAAGCCATCCCTGATCACCTCCTACCCCTGGGCCTAGAGTGACTTATTGTGTGCTTCTCTAGTACTCAGAACATCCCCTATCATTGGACTATTTATTCGGCTGTGAGTCTTGGAGCAGTCTCTAACCGCACAGAGCAGTGAGCTGGATTGACAACAGGGCTTCTCTGCCAACCCAAACCCAGTTGGCTTTTGAGGCCTTGCATTTGCAGGTCTCTGTGAAGTCTGCCTGCAGCCTCTGATGCTTTGTTTGACAATGTGCCCTGCAAGACTTTCCACCTGCTCCTCTATCTCCCCTTCCCGACACAAACCTCGAGTTTTCTCTCTTTCTATGCCCCACAGCACCCAGCTCAGGGCTGGGTATAAAAGCGGGCCGTGATCTCCCAAATGTAGCTGCCCACAGTGGCAAGAGCGCCCTGGAGCTGCTGTGGCCCTACCCTACTCTCTGCTGGGACTGGCTGCAGGGCTCAGGCAGCGTGGGCCCTCCCCTAGGCCCAACATAGCCAGACTGTCCCCAGGTCTCTGCCCAGCCAGGTCGCTCCAGTGTCGGGTACATTACTCCCTGAGCTGGCAAGCACTCCGTGTTCCCCACAATCTCATGCCTATAAAGGCCTAAGTGGCGCCAGTGGAGGTGGAAGCCTTGTTCCAATCTGGGTCCCCACAAGCCCCCCTTCATTTCCCGAGCCCACACTCAGTTTAGGCTCATAAGTGTTATGTCTTTAACCTCTTGTCCACACCATGCCCACAGAATTTTTGTTGTTGTTGCTAGTGGAACGCCGCAGTGATTTAGAGATAGCAGTGATAAAATGACTCTGAAAGGGCCTAGATTACCACTGGGGCGACTTGGCCAGGGAAACTCAGCCCCAGATACACAGGAAAAACAAAATATACCCATGCCTCCAGTTACACTGTGCTGAGGGAATGAACCAAAAGGGCTTTACAGAAAGGCAGCACAGTGTAGGGGAACCGTGGTTTCAAGCCCTGACTACGCTCAGCAGCTGTGAGGTCCTGGGCAAGTCACCTCCTTCGGAAAGAGTCCTTTGACACCTACTTCCCCAGTGGCCCCTACCTATGTACACCTACTACTCCCCGAGCTTCTCATGCATCTCCCACTACACTGGATTTCCTCCAAACCAGGGTTACATCTGTTCTTCTCAGTCACCCAGCTCAGGGCCTGAGACAGAACAGCACTGGTAAGCATTTGTTGGATGAACAGATGGATAGAAAAACAAAAGAACGAAGTTCAATTCTCTGGGCCTATTTTTCTCTAGAACAAGAATTAAGCCACTCTCCATTATACATTCCCTAATGCTAAGCACAATGCCTGGTGCACGGTAGGTGGTGAAGTCCGCATGAAGGCAAGAATGCATGGAAGCCTGTGTGGTCTGACTCCTCATCAGGGTTATGGTTAAGAATCCACTGAGGCCGGGAGCGGTGGCTCACGCCTGTAATCCCAGCACTTTGGGAGGCCGAGGTGGTCGGATGACTTGAGGTCAGGAGTTCAAGACCAGCCTGACCAACATGGTGAAACCCCGTCTCTATGAAAAATACAAAAATTAGCTGGGCATGGGGGCACGCGCCTGTAATCCCAGCTACTTGGGAGGCTGAGGCACAAGAATCGCTTGAACCTGGGAGGCAGAGGTTGCAGTGAGCCAAGATCATGCCACTGCACTCCAGCCTGGGTGACAGAGCGAGACTCTGTCTCAAAAAAAAAAAAAAAAAAGAAAAGAAAAAAAAATCCATTAAGATGGGGGTGAAAACATTGCAAATACCTGTGTGAGAGTGGCTTTGATCAGTGCTACCCAACGTGTGGTCCACAGTCCAGTGGCATCAGCATCGCCAAGAAACCTGCTAGAAATCCAAATTCTCACCCCAACCTATTGAAACAGAATCTCTGTGGACAGGGCTCAGGAATCTGGATATTAACAAGCCTGTCAGGTGATTTTTAGGTACAGGAAAGTGTAAGAAACACTGTTTTTAAAATCACAGGTCTAAATTACTTAAGTTCTCTGTGCCCTGGTTTCCACATGTGTAAAATGGGGACGGGAATACATGTAAATGTGCTCAGAGGAGTTGCAGGCATGTGAGCTCTTGTTGCTGTTGTTGCTGAACACCTAGCCAGGATGTTCAGCATGGTGCGAGACACTAGGAGAGGCAGAGAAGAGCAGACACAGCCCAGTTCTGATGTCCAGAGCTTAGGCTTAGGGTAAAGGCATGTTAACCTGAGGAACATGTAATGAAGTACTTGATGATGTGGCTGTGGTCCAAGGCTGATCCAGAGGCCCCTGGGATTGAGCTGAAGTCATTCACATAAGGGATGCTAGGCTCACCACCCCACCAAAGCTGGCAGGAAATTTCTCTTTTACAGAAAAGGAAACTGAGGCTGAGAGAGGCAAGACTGGCCTGAGGTCATTCAGGCAGTGCGGGATGAGCCAAGCCTGGCATGCAGGCTGCTAAGAGAGATTACAAGCAGATTTCAAATAGAAGTGCCCTGCAGGAGCTGTCACTCACTCGCCATAGCCCAGGAGCGGCAGGGACAGTCTGCCTGCACACACTCGGTGAATTCAGCTCTCCTCACTCACTTCCAGCCAGGAGACTCATGGGCTGAAGGAGTCACAGCATCTCACCTGGAGACAGCTGGTTGTCTGCAGCCACCAGCTTTGCTTGACTGGGGTTACGGGTGAGGGTCCTGATAACTCCAGCATCCTGAAATTCCCCAAAATAGCCTCTTTCCCAAACCCTGTTAAATTAATATTCATTCACTTACTCTCCAAGGGTCTTCTGTGTGCAGGCTCTGAGTCCTTGCTTTAATCCTAGCAAGGACAAGAAAATCACTCACCTGGGATTATTATTCCATCTTTAGAGATGTGGCTCAGAGAGGGTATATGGCCTGAGGTCACACAGCTCAAGCAGGGTCTGATGGTGAAGCCTGTGCTCTGCTCGTGCCCTTGCTGCTTCCCTGAATCAGAAGCTTGGGTGGTGCCTGGCTCAGACCCAAATTAGGGCCCAACTTTGGGCAAGTCATGGCCCCACTCTGAGTGAGCCCAGATCTCCCAAGGCAAGAAAAATATCATCTCTCTCCCACACCTGTCTGGGGAAATGTAAGAAAATGAAGCAAGGAGCTGTGCAAACACACAGGTGTCACTGACCACCTCTCACAGCTGGCCTCAAGCACAGATAGACACTGCCAGGGGACTTCTCCTCATGGCTCTGAAGGCAAGAGGACGGTTTTCCTCATTTTGGCAGAGGCTTATAGAGATGCAGCTCTCACACAGAGGCACAGAGCAGCAAAGTCCGGACTCGAACACAGGTCTTCTGGCTCCTGGCCCTGGGCTCCTTCCAATTGGAGCGCTCATTGTCCTGCCACTTCTTCACCAAAACCTCCCCCAACCCCCACCCCACAGAACAGCGGCTCCTACCCCACCCCATCCCACCTCCTCTCCCTACCTGGCCCAGAGAGAGAAGCCTGGAGCCAGCAGCCATCAGGACCTTGTCCAAAAATCCCCAGGCAAAAGCAGGAGGGGGAAAAAAGGCACAGTTAAGATGTGAAATGTCTTGAACAGAACCCTCTTTTATTTTGAAGAAGAAATCGTAGACTTGGTTCACAATTCAGGGAAAAAAAAATTAATCCTTGGATTCACTTTGGGATTCAGCAAATTAACACCGTTTGCTCTGGTTTGGGGTTTGAGGTTTTGGTCAAATCTGTGGGATGCAACAATTGGGGATACCCCACCCCACAGGCCCCAAGGGTGTCAGCCTCAGTGGCTCCACTTAAGGGGTGGGGACAAGGAAAGACTCATCAGGGAAGACCAGGCAGGAATCGTGGTTCCCCTCAAAGCTCTGAGCGCAATCGGCCCAGGCCTGGACTGAGAAGCATCCACCCTTCCCCAACTCAGTCTCCTCCTCAGTCTGGGCTAAGGGCTGGGCTACCCGCCTCCCCCACACCCTGGCACAGCAACCCAGGGAGGAACCTCCAAGCCTAGGAGATCCAACACACCCCCATAGGCCCTGCCCGGGTCTTCCTGAGGATCTTTCCACCTCCTCACTGTATGGGGTACTCCCTGAGGGCTAGTCCCCAGAATCCAGCACAGTCTACAGGCATGGCCGATGTAGATATTTAGAAATCACCAGCACCCCGCACGCACCCCCAGCCCCAGCCCTGCCACAGACATGTTCCTTAAGGACAATCAGGCTGAAACAGGCAAGGCACAGGTCCTTCCCCAGCCCTCGGGCTGAGCCTTCCAGCTTTTCACGTGTGCGTCCTGAGGCCAGAAGCACCCTCCACCCTGACCTCCAAGAGTGCCCTCTAATGCTCTCCAGGGCCAAGCCAGGCTGTATCCCTCCCCATCAGCCTCATTTCAGGGCTAGGAGTTCTAATACCCCCTTGAATTTATTATAATTTCTCTTTCATTCTTGCCTCATACTAGAATGAGAAGGCTTTGGACGCACTTGCCTTCAAATCCCACTTACCGGTCCTGCGGGCCCTCTGGCCTTGCTAAGGCTGATCTACAAAACCAGAATGTAACACAGGTCTCTGGGACTGCATGACGTGACATACACGGAGCCCCTAGCTGAGCAACGCAAACAGCAGGTACCGCACAAGCCCAAGCTCTCCTTCCCCTGTCCCGCTACCCTTGAGGATGACGCCGGCCTACAGCTCTGATGACAGACGCACATTAGGGGTATAATGAGCTTCCCGAGGAGCTAGTGTTTCCATCAACAGAGTGA
Organism: Homo sapiens; assembly: GCF_000001405.40. Lineage (NCBI taxonomy): Eukaryota > Metazoa > Chordata > Mammalia > Primates > Hominidae > Homo > Homo sapiens. The sequence goes on from NC_000001.11 coordinate 53,677,195, forward strand.
GTGTGTAGATTAGTTATAATGGGAGTTACGGTTGCTACATCCACTTTTCACCAACGAACAAAATTGGTGGAACCAGAAAGGCTCCTTCCATGAAGGACCAGCAGGGATGCCCACCTTCCAGGTGAGAAGATGTAGGCACAAAGCTGCCGAGTGGCTGGCCAAGGCGGTACAGGCAGTGGGGATGGCGCGGGGGCAGGAATTCGAGTCTGCCAGGTTCTGGGACCCAATGGGGAGAAACACCCCGCAAATGACAGACTCGCCTCACCAACACCTAAGCATGTTCCCAAAAGCTCTGCTCCACGGCCTGGCCATTGAACGCCAGACAGACAGCCAGAGGAAAAACAACCCAGTTTGGAAGGCAATAAAAATGTGTTTTTTCTTGCTAAACAAATTAGTTTACATCTGGCGATGTACAAATAAATTGAGGGGCCTCTGCAGGCCCAGACCAGACGTCTCCCAGGGCCTGGGCCCCAGTCCGATTGGACCCAGCCGCGGGCACCCGCGAGGAGCACCTTCACTTCACGCTTGCTGTCACGCCATCTCTGGGATCTGCCGTGCCTCCTCACCTCTCCCTGCTTCTCTGTCATCACCTCAAGAACTGCCCATCTGTAGGCGTTCCTCCAAGCCTTCTTCTCGCTTAAGGGAGGAGCACAGTCTCTGGTGTTTGCCTCCCATCTCACTGCTGCGAGGCCTCCAAAACGTACTTTCCCCTCTGAGCCTCAGTCTCCTCAAGTGTCAAATGGAAACACTGATGTCTCCTGCCAGAGCTGTGGCGAGAATAAGATACACCTGAGGTCCCCACCACCATGGCTGGCACTTAGAAAACAGCCCCCAAACGTGGGATTCCTCCACAGTTCCCTGGCACCACCGGCTCCTTGGGAAACATACTGGCTGTGGATGGCCCGAGGTCTGTTGATCCTGGTCTTTCTTCCCCATGCTCCTGAGGCAGTGGGCACCCCCATCAGACCTGATGATGTCCCCAACAGATGTCCCCTGAGGTGCCTGCCACCCTTGCTGTAGAGCCACGCTGAGCTGCAGCTCGCCGCAGATGCCCAGAGGGCCCCCTTGCACGAAGAACCTCTCTGCGGATTTGAGCCATCAGTTCTCAGGTGGCCTGGGAGTGCAGGAGGGTGAGGGGGGGGGGGTGGGGGGCAGGGGGGAGCGGGGTCACTGCCTCAGAATGGGCTGCAGCTGTTCAACCTCCACACAGATGAAGAAACTGAGGCTCAGAGAGGTTAGATCACTTGCCTGGCATCATTAAAAAAAAACAAAAGCCAGGTCTCTGGACTCCTAGCACCAACAATATTTTCTAATTCACATTAATGAGAAAAGGCTGGTACCTGCACCCCCAGCCATGGATGGGGAGGTGATGGCAGAGATGTACTAAGGGCACAGAAACATCACCTACAGCCTGTCCAAGTACCAACAGTCACCATGACTGCCCAGTTCTCTTGGCACTAAAAGGCTGCTGAGTTCGAGCCCTGAGTTAAATGAATGCATCACTGGGGCGTTGCCAACTGGTACTATCAGCCAGAACACAGACAAGAACAGCCGGGAGCAGAGCAAGAGTGAGGCCTCAGCCTGGGGAAGGGGGAAAGGTCTCTGACCTCAGTCTCCTTAACTGGAAATGGAAAGCACCGCACAAGCTGAACTCCAGGGTCCCTTCCCAGCCAGAGAATCTGCCTTCTATGGACCCAACTTTCCAGCCCACTTCTGCTGTCAAGTGTGGTGTGCCTGTGGTCTGGGTTCCCAGGGAGCAAACCTAAAACCAGCCCCTGGCTGCTCCTTCCCTATGACCCTCCACAGCCTGGGAGGTCACCCCCCACCTCTCATGTCCTCTTCCCACCAGGCCCAGGTCTGAAGTTGGGCTCGTGGCCACTGCAGCTGCCGGCGTTCTTAGATGAAGCGGGAAACACGGGGGAGCAACCTTACATCCCACTTCATCTCCCTCCACTACCTCCAGGCCACCCTGGACCTCTGATGGGAGGGGGAAGGGGCCCACTACGAGGGGGAACGGGCAGGAGAGAGGGAGGTGGCAGCCACAAATGCCCCCAGCAGCAGCTGCGTGACTGTGGGAGCTGGGCCTGCAATTAAAATAAACCCCAAAACAGCCTTAAAATAACTACAAGGCATTTCAAGAAGATTGTATTGTTGAATTTACTGTTTGTTTACTGAGACAATCCGAGTTGGGTTTCAGATGAAAGTAGGAGGGAGACCAGATGTGAGGCTGAACGTCTGACCTGAAGCATCTGCTGCTCCAGGAGGAACCCAGGAAAAAGGGCCAGCCCAGAGTGAGGCAGTGAAGACTCAGAGACTCAGACCCCTGCCCAAACCACAGGCTGCCTGGCCCCTCCTGTTCGGGCCCCAGAAAGCCACTTGCCCCATTTACACAGAGCCCAGGGAGGGCTACTGACAGCCACTGTGTCCCAGAGAGAAGTCTGAGCCACAGAACCACAGAGATGAGAGCTCAAAGTCAGCCATGCCTCCTGGACGGGCCCCTTGGCTGCTCTGAGCATGCTTCCTTGGGACAGCAATCACTCCTGCCTTCTGGCGCTGCCGGGAGGAGGGCCTGGGGAGGGCTGGAAAGCCCCTGTAGCATGCTGACACACGGTGGACAATGCTGGCCCAACTTTTTGACTTCTCTCTCCAGCTCGTTGGTCCTTTCTTGTAAAGAGGATACTTAGAGCTGAAAACCAACAGCTCCTACCCACACCTGAGGCAGCCTGACCTTGGAAAGGCCACCCCATGTTCCTGTGGCACCCAGGGTGCCCCCAAATATGGAAGCAGTAATGGAGACCCCTGTTTCCTTACCACCCCATCCAGGCCACATGTCTTTGAACTCCTCAAGGTCAGGTGCCAGGTCGAATTCTCCAGATCCCCAGTCCCCAGCCCAAATGTCTGCTGAATGAAGGAGGGAGAAGGCAGGGAGGGAGGCAGGTCTCCACTCACAGGAGATTCTAAAGGACCTAGATTGTCTCAGCCACTAACAGCTTAAAAAAAAAAAATTCAGATCAAATACGGCATTTGTCCTTAACGTCTTCATAAGGAAAGGCAAGGAGGGAGACTTCCATCACATAAGCCTCATAGATAGGAACACGGAGGCCCAAAACGATTAAGAAAATGTACTTCCCTGTCCACAAACCCCTGCTTTTTGGCAGGAAGTAGAGACTATGATCTATGCCACGAGTGTGGTGCCCACCACTCAGTGGCACCAGTACTGGGGTGGAAGGGGACAGCCACAGACCTCTGCTCCTGACAGAGCTGTGTCACCATGGGCAAGATACTTAACCTCTCTGAGCCTCTTCCTCCTCTTGCAAAAGATGAATAATAAAGCCCCTCACCTTGACAACATTAAATAACAGAAGGGAAAGTGTTCTGTGAACTGTAGACCACATGGAAATGTGATCCTCAGAAGATGTGATAGTCATCCTGTTAATATCAGAGAAGGTTTTAAAACTCACGTGGCCAGAAAACAAATCCTATTTGGGGGAATAGGTGTGATGCTCCTACTATCTGCTGAATGAATGAATGAATGAAAGACACTCCAAAACCAAAGCCATTCAGGTCATCTGAGTTTATTCTAAGACTGATTCTCCCTACTAAGCAGCAGGAATAAAATATCAGATCTAATCCCACAGCTGTCTAAATGAGCAGGGTGAGACGTATCTGAAGATGCAGAATTGACTGTGGACAAGAGCTTTACCCTTCACTGTGCCCAAGGTGAACTTCTCCACAAGACGGCACACATGTGGCCACTGCCCAACACATCTACCCTGAGCAGACGCTGGCCAGATGATCTCAACCCTGGACACAGCTGGGTCAATGTTTCCAGGGCCTTCAGCCTGACTGCGCTGATACTATCTGCCAGGGTCAGAGAGAGGATGCAGGCCCCTCTTCTCGGCCTTGGGTCCACACAAGCCTCTGAAATTAAGTTAAAGAGGAAAACTCCAGCACTCCTCCACTGCTCCGTGATCCACACTGGCAGCTTCTTTTCTGAGTTCGTGGCTGCGTGAAGACGCATGCCCAGCTGTCAGTACCTAGGCTGGGTTATGAGTAGATGGCATGCTCTTCTCCAGGGCTGCTCATCAGAACCAGGGCTGCAGCCTGAGGTGGGCTGAGATGGGGCCAGCCACAGTTGTCCAACAAGGCAGAGTTTCAGGGCCTCATCATCTGCTGCCTGCATCTCTGCCACCGCCCCTCACTGGCCGCCCTGCTCCCAGGACAATGCCAAGTAGGGAGGGATATACTGGCTGGAGCCAGAAAGGGGCCTGGACCCAAGTCAGAGACAAGGGAGAATTCCTGTAAAACTGTGAGTAAAATGGGAGAAGTGGATGCCACCAGGCTGGACAGTCACAGGCAGCCAAGAAAGAGAGCATTCATATTCTCTCTGCTGACAAAGCAGGGGACTGGACTTCCTGCAGCTTCCACAGCTCCAGGATGGCTATTTCTTTTCAAGGACTACTAAGGAGAGGTAGGAAAAGGGCTTGAGCCCACCAGTGGTAACCACCCCACAAAGACTTGTGAAGCCCCCACTTTGCTCTAGGTGCGTGGGACACAGGAGGACCTACCCTTAGGGAGCAGATGGCTCAGAGCTGAGTGCATTCGAGGTTGCTGTGGGTGGGTGGAGCAACTGGGACTGAACCCCCTCTCTCCTCCCCCATCCTCTTCTTCTGTAGAGCCATCTGCACCCAGCCAGCAATACGTTCCTGCTCTCGGGGGCCTTCTTTGACTGCTTCCCCTCCCTTCCTGCTACACTCTGTGCTGAGTTTATACTACACTAACTTAAACCACTTTGTAGGCTACTTTGCAAGTGTTCTTAATCTTTCAACTAATTCGTTGGCTCTTAGAAAATAAAGGAAATTTGAAATTGCTGTGCTGCATGCAATAAACTCTTGGCATCTGGCCAGCGGGGGCCGTTCCAGGCAGAGTCCGCACCAGCCCTGCACAGATGCTTCCTGTTGTAAAGGTGAGGCACCCCTCTGCCTCTACACAGCCGCTCACCACCGGACTCCGACTCCAACTCCAGACCCGCTTGCAGCCATGCATTCTTCACTCCTTCAGCCATCCAGCAAGCAGCCGCTGACACAGCTGACACCTGGTGGCAGGTTGTGTGTTAGGCATGAAGGAGTGGGGGGATGAAAGGTGCATCAGGCACAGTCCCTGCATCCCTGCATCCCCGCGAGGAGCTCACATTCTGGTGGGGGAATGGCCCTCTCATTCTGTAGATGACTGAAGTAAGCTGAACATAATCAGAAGAGGGCCTTCCTCTGCAGGTTACCTCTCAATATGTGTCCCCATAAGGGATGCTGAGGCACAGGCAGATGGCAAGGGCCCTGGCAGAGACCCTAAGTGCTGGCGTTGCAAGTTGGCAGCACTTCGCTTATTAGAATACACCCACGTTCCTGTCTGAACTGATTCTTCAGGGGCAATAACGCAGAGCCAAGGGGCAGGCAAGGAGACAAAGGCTTAGGAGAGGCCCTTTCACCATTGGTTAATCTAGGAGGAGCTGCCTTTCATAACAAGTGTGCAGCAGTAGCTCATTCAATCAGACCAGAATAGGAAGGAAACTCGAAGATTATCTGAGACAACCCTGCCATTTTACCTACAGAGGGACTGTGGCCCCTAACTGTATGATGAGCTAAACAGATGTCCCTGCCTTGAGCTCAGCACCTAGTGAGGGGTCAGAGAGCAATCAAGGAACCATACAAATAATACACGATCAACTCTGTTAGAGGCACGAAGGGGGTATACATAGGAGAGGAATCAGGAAGTCTTCCCTGTAGAAGCAGCATGAACTGAGACATGAAGAATGAGGAAATAGTGAGCAAAGGCTGCAGCAAAGGAAGGGAGAGGATTCCAGGTCAAGGGAATGGTCTGTGCAAAGGCACTGAGGCAGAAGGTGGCACCGTGCTTTAGAAGGAAAGGAAAGAAGGCGAGTTCAGTCCTGGCATATGGAGTCTGGGGTCCCACTTCTGGCAGACACATTCCTGGCTCCCCAACCTGCACTGTGGATATACACCATGAACACCTCCTGAACATCTACCAATGGCCAGGTGCTCATCCAAGCGCTCACACTCAGTAACCCGCTAACGGGCATCCTCACACCGCGTGAATGTGATTATAACCGCAGGCAGGCAGTCCCCAGAGCCTGAGCCCCCCCAACCAAAGGCCTCCTAACTTGTGGAGCACAATGACCATGAGCAGAGACTATGATGTCAAAGCCTGGGTTCAAGCTCCAGCCCTGCTTCTGATTATCTGCATGACCCTGAGTGAGTTACTCTATCTCTGCAGGCCTCATCTGTGAAATGGGGAGAATGAGGGCACCACCTACCTCAGAGAGTTCTCACGTGGATCACACGAGATCATCCACATAAATCAGCACTGTGTCTGGCACACAGCATGCATCAAGGACGTTAGCAGGTACTAGCCTTAGCTCTTCTGTTTCTAGCCCTAGCAGAAGACCTGGCACGGGCAGGCATGTGGAATGAAAGAATGACCGAGGTGCCCGGTAAATGCTTGTCAGGAATGGAGTGTCACAGCACTGAATTGGGTACCCTGGGGAGGTACTGAGCAGCTGTCAAGAGAGACCCTCAAGCACACAGTGGGTGGTCACTTGCTGGGGATGCTGCAGAAGGGATTTGTGCATTGGGAGGATGTGGACTAGAAGGATGAGGGCTTTGTACAGTCCTTGCCAGGCTTGAGACTCAGGGACTCTCCTGACCCACCCCGCCTGCCAGAGCTCGGACAATTTTATGGAGCTCAGTTTCTTAATCACCTTGTTCTGCTGGGGCTTAGAGTGGAATCTTTTCCCCAAATTGGACATTTATGGGGCTGGAGTAGAGATGGAGAGCAGGATGGATGAAGTGTCCACATTCCAGCTGGGAGGTTAAGGGCTTTTGTGTTCCTTCCTTCTAAACTCCAAAGTTCCCAGCCAGGCCTGGGGGTGTCCATGTCTCCCTCAGATGGGCAGGGCATTCCTGGGTCCATGTCCTCCCCACCCCCAAGATCTCTGCAGTCCAGCTCCTCCTACCCTCTCTGGAGGGAGCCAGGCTGCTAGAACCTCAGGGCCTCCCCAGAACTCAACACAGGGCTGGCACCCAGAAGGTGTTGTGTATTTATGGAATGTGTGAACCAAATTCAGCCGATTTTCCTAACCCTGGGAAAGCGTGGGAAAGCCTAGAAGCCTCTAGGGGTCTCCCTGCTCCCTCTGACTCCTGGGCTTTTTGTGGTCAGGACCAGCCTGGGGCCCTTAAGATGGTTCATGGGGACCACTGCAGGTGAGCCTCACTTCACACTGTGAGGTGAAGCAACAAGTAGAGGTCAAAGCCACCAGGGTGGGTGGCTGTTCAGAGAATCTTGCTCTCGCCAAAGAAATGGAGGGCCCTCCAGTACCTCCTGAAGCACAGTTTGGTTTCTGTCACTACCTCAAATCAAGAACTCACTAGTGCCCACAGGGTCACATCCAGGCTCTTCAGCCTGGCACTCATTCCCTTCTTCCCTGCCATGAATCTCCTTCATACAGCTCCCACACCAGCCTGGTGGGCCACCTGCCTCTCCTCTCCTCCTGGCCAGCAGGCTCCCAGCACCCCTACCCCATGACCACCTCTCAGCAGAAGTCCTGGGCCTGCTTTAGGGCAGGCAAGTGGAGCCTGGCTTGCTGTGTGGCTTCAGGGAATTGGCTCTGCCCAGATCAGTGAATCCACTCTGCCCAGCCCTGAGCTGGAAACAGAGGACACAGAGAGTCATGCTGCCATCAAGAGACTCACGGGAGGGGAGATAAGCCAGAGCTCTGAGGCTGTGGGGACCCAGAGGAGACACCTGACCTGGGGTGGAAGTCAGGGAAGGTTTCCTGGAGGAGATGCTGGCAGAGTTCTGGGAGGGACACAGAAGAAAGAAGAGGGTGGGGAGGCATTTCCCCCAGCAAAAAGGCCATGAGCAAGCAGGTAAAGGTGAAAGACAGCAAGACGGGTGTCCTGGCTGACCTCTGCCAATGCCCAGCTCACAGGAGCACTCCCCATCCAGAGGCCACAGAGAAGGAGACTAGACAGCATGCAGCTGACCCTACATGCTGCCACACACCCCTGCACCTTCACTCCCTTTGGAGCCCGCGGACATACCATTCCTTGTGGCCGCCCCGCCGCGGAGGACCGCGTCCCCAGAGCGCCGTGGTGTCTGCGCTGCCGGGCGCGATCTGTTATTATCCCCCGTCAGCGCTGCCGGCCTGTGTACATTCCTCCGTAATGAGTCTGACCTCCTCGGCAATGTTTAATCAGAGCCTAATCGACCCTGGCTTTGATCTGCTGCATTTTCTGCAAAAACCCTGGTACCTGATTTTTACAATCTGATTAGCAGGCTGACTCTCCGAAGCCAAAATTACCCTGAGTTGCAGAGATCCCTGCTGAGTTCTTTGTGTTTTTTCCCCTCTCTTCCAACAAGTTATTTCCTGAGACAACTGTCACTTCCCTCCTTGCCTGTGACTGTCTCCCTCACCCTCAGCTTTCACATCCAGTCAGTTGTCAGGTCTCAAATAGTGGGTCCTAACCCATCCCCTCCTCTCCCCAGCGGCTTCAGCGCTGGCCACCGCTACCACGGTCTGAGGCTCCTGCCCCTGACTGGCCCTTCAATCTGTCCTCCATCCCGCAGCCAGATCTGCTGGGAGCCGCTGCCACTGTGCTGAGCCATCTGGCCTCAGGAACTGCTCCCTGCTGAGCCCTCCAGCCAGCCTGTGGCCAGCCCCACCTCAGATTCTCCCCACTCCCTCTCATGCATGGGTTCCGTCAGAAACCTGCCCTCCCCCTCTGCCCCTGCCCTTCATCTAGTTTCATCTCCCTGTCATCCACCAGGCTGCTCACTGGCCCCTCTCCACTCCCGCAGCCATGATCCCAGCTGCCCACCTATGGCCATTGTTCCTTCCATCTCTCCCACCAGACTGCAAAGCCCCTTTAGGAGGTTCTCTCTCATGCTCCACTGTTTCCCCACGGAGCGGAGCTATGACTGCCCTGAAGCTGGGTACTCAGTAAATGAGGGAGGAAGGAAGGAAGGAAGGAAGATTCCCTTGCAGCCCATTCTGGAGGCCACGCACTGCCAAGTCAGACCGTGGCCCCTTGTTATCTTTCAGCTCCACACGGCACAATTCTCCCCTCCGGCTCAGCCTACTCCACTTTCCACCAGCCCCCTAGCCTCTCTGATGGAGGACATTGCTTTGTTCTCATCCGCAGTGCTTTCTCCCTCCAAAGTGGGAAAGAAGGTTAGGAAAGAGAGCAGAGGTCCTTGTGAGCACAGGAGAATGGTCCTTGCTTGGTTGGTGGCAGACCCTGAGCTGGACCCTGGAGGCACAGATGAATCAGATCCTCTCCCTCTCCTTGGGAAGCTCACAGACTGTGGGGGGAGGCAGCGAGGGAAGCAGATAAACTGGAATGCAGGGAAAACAGTGCTCATCTCTGGCCAGGGGAACTGACTCTGCTTGAAAGATACAGGAAGGAGTCCAAGAGGGAGCATCTGAGCTGGGTTTAAGAGAGAAATAGGAGCTCTCCAGCCAAGAAAAGAGTGACCATGCAAAGGCACAGAAGCATGAGAACGTGTGACGGGTTCAGAGGATGGGAAATGTTCCAGGTGGCCTGAACGGTGGCGGGGGTGGGGCAATAAGTTTGCTGTGGCCAGATCACCAAGGGCCTTGTCCACCATGCTAGGGAGATGGGACTGTGGCCTGCAGGATCACCGTGTCCATCACCTAACTGAACTTCCTGACAGTGTTGAGCCCTTTCTTTGCCCTGGTACACAGTGGATTCCAGAGCTGTGTATAGGAGGCTCCCAAGAGCTACTCCACTGCCAGTGAGGCCACTGAGGCTCAGAGAGGCCAAGTAACTTCGACGAGGTCACACAGCCTCCGAGGGGCAGAGCATGGACTGGAACCCGGAATCTCCTGAAGTTAAGGAAAGGTTTTCCCAGGATGAGGCAAACGAGAGAATCACTGTGGGAGCAGAACCAGAGCCAGGCAGGAGAGCTGGACTTGGAAGGGGCCGCTTGCCTCTTGGGCAGAGGAGGACGGAAGTAGTCCCAGCTCCCAAGGCCCTTCATACCCTGCAAGGCACCACCCGCCCACCTGGGTCTCTCAGACATTTTTAGGGGGTGGGCAGTGGAAAGAAAGAAAGAGTCTCCTAAGGGATTCCCATGGAGTTCTTTCACTAATTATTTACTCCCAGTCATTCCAAGGACAACATCTATCACCCGGTCCAACCAGCCCGCCCCGCTTCACCAAGCCCGTGTCAGGCCTCGCACAGTTGAGCCCCCACAATAACTCCTCATGGAAGACCCGAGTACATCCCCGCTCTCCTGTGAGAGCCGAGGAGCTTCCTGAAGGGCCCCCTGCTGTCGGGTGGTTCTGTGCGTTCTCTTCCCCAAACCACAAGGTCTGCTTACATGCAATGGGTCCCCCCAGCTAGGAAGGGGCAGCACCAGGTCAGAGCCCCCGCCGCCCACCACCCAGCCAGGGTCTTCCCATAGCATCTAGCCACCTCCTTCACGAAGGGACGGACAGTGGGCAGGAGTTCTGGTTAACGGGGGTTCCAGTTAACCAGGTATCACAGGGTGTTCTCTGCCCCAGGCCCCCATGTCACCAGGGGACAGTGACAACTGCTCCCACTTGTGCAGGCTCCCAGGCACAGGTGCTTGACCTCCCCGCATCTCTCACCCCAACTCGGGGAGCTGGTGGCGTCCACCACATCATAGATGAGGAAGAGTCCTAGACGCAAGCGGGCCCGGCTGTGCCCCTAGCCCCACCTCAAGCCCGGAGGACCCAGCCTCTGGCCCTCCCTGGAGCCATCAAGATCACCGTGCTGTGCTGTCGAGGCTGAGGAACCGGGGCTGCCTTGCTGGAGGCCAGACTGGCCCTGCCCCAGCGCGTTTCCTGCTCGGCAGGCTCTGGCCCTGTGTGTGGCGTGCTGACACCCGCTCTCGGTCCCTGATTCAAGAAGAGCACCTCACCAGACTCATTCGTTTCTGTTTTCTCTGCAAACATCCCCACGGGCTCATCGCTCCCTCCTGTGCCCAGGAATGCGAGTGTGGGCTCATGGGGGATAAATCCGTCTGAGTCTGTATTTTGACTAGTCCCTACAAAATGTGCTCTGAGCACTTTGCAGGGTAGAGGTGGGGAAAGGGGAAGACGTGGCGGGTGGAAGGGGGCTCTCCCCTCGTGCAGCTGTGCAGTCCTGCCGAGCCAGGGACTAGGGACTACACCCAGTCCCCCAGCCTCTGTGCCACCTTTCCCACCACCCTCTCTGCTCTCCTGCCCATTCCTTAGTGCCCGGGCCAAATGCCCCCTCCTCCACAAAGACTTCCCTGGTCTCCCGACTGGGAACTAGGATGTCCTTCCCGAGCTCCACAGCACATTCCTCCTCCCTGGTCTCACGCTGATGGGTGACTGTCTTGCTTTCCCCAGGAAACCCTGAGCTCCTCCAGGGCAGGCCCACAGCCCCCATACGGTGTCATGTACAGGAAGAGGTGCTAAGGAAAAACCTGCTAAATAAGTAGTTTTTAAATTGGTTTTTGTGTGGGGGGGGATGTTTTCTGGTGAAAACCAAAAAACCTGCCAGAAAAATTCTAAAAGGGCTGCACCACTCGTTTTTCAATTTTTACTGAGTGCCTGATCTTGCCCAATGGCAGCGAATTCATTTGGGGGCACCTTGAGGACACCTGCTGGCAGAATCCATGAAGGCCCAAGAGTAGTGCAGAGGCACCAGCCACACCCCCAGGCCAGACTCTGGGCCAGGCATGGCTGGGGAATAAAACTGTCACAGTAGTCTTAGAACTCCAGGGTCCACATTCTTCCTCAAGCCCCCTGCTTTCAATAGCACTTTGTGGATGGCTGAGCACATTCTCTCAGGTCGTTTGATGGTCTCCTTACACTCCACCCTCACAGGGTGGGGCAGGTGAAGAGACCAGCCCAAAGGTACAGTTGGTCCATGCACCTCAACACTCATTCAACAGTCATTAGAAAGAGAGACGTGGAGAGTTTCAATTCAGAGCAGTAAGTGCTGTGATGGAGCGAAGCAGGGGCCAGTGGACATACAGAGAAGCCACAGCCCAGTCAGAGGGAAGGAGGCCTCAGAGGCTTCACAGAGGCACCACCTGCCTGGGCAGGACTCACAGCAGCTGCCCTCCTTCTCCTGGCAAGAAGCATTTACCCTGGCTGGGCTCTGGTTCCAGTCCTCCCTCCTGGCTGCAGCCCTCCACTGTCTACCAAGTTGACCCACCTGTTGAGTCCCGTGTATCTTCCCACCCAGAAACATCCTGAGCTGAGAGCCGGCCAGACCAGAGCAAGTGACCACAGAGACAGGGAGTCCCAGCAAGATCTGCACTGTGACCTTTCTGCCTGAGAACAGTAGAAGGCAAGCGCTCAAGAGGTCTTCATTCTCAACACTTAGCCCAAACAAAGACTTACTTCTCCATTTGGCCACAGGCAGTACCAATGCCCTGTGTGATGCTAGGCAAACCGAGCCCCTCTCTGGGCCCACAGTAACAGCCTGAGACCAGACCTCCCCTGTCCAGGAGCATGGCATCTGTGATGTGTTACCCCCACCAGGCCCCTCTGAGAGGCATCTCAGCGCCCATTACTGGCCCCTGCAGATGAGGTCCTAGGAGCTCAGCCTGGCCCTCAGGCCCCTGGCCCTCACCAGCCTTCACTTGCCCACATGTGCCCTTCAGAGCCGGTTTATCCCCACCACTGTGCACCTCTGGGCTACACGTAGTGAGCGGAATGCCTTTCCCCTTGCTGTCAGGCCAACACAAGCCTATCTCTTCCCAAATGAAGCTCTCTCACACCTTGCACTGGGCTCCCTGACCCTGAGTCACACTGTGTGGTCATTATCTGATACCTGGTGGCCTGCCCCCTCTGCTGTGAGCACCCTGCGTCATGCCTGAAGCTGATTTATCTCTGGATCCCCAGCATAGGCTAGAAAGGGTAAAGAACAGGAATCAAACATCAACCACATGTGCACAGTGATGGCATCAGGCCAGGGAGCCTCACCGCCCAGCAACGCTCGGCACCACGACACCGCATCTTCAGGGCCACAGGCAGGGATGGCTCACTGCCCCAGGCTCCGCTGCCCCCATCAGCGCATGATGGGGAAGAGGGTGGTCTCCAAGGCCCTTGTTCTGTGAAGACCTGTGCTGCAGGACACAGCTGGGGCGGCTTCCACTGGCCTCATATGAGACATGGCGGGGGCTGCTTCAGGAACCAAATCTCAAATGGCCTCTGCCTGAACTGGCCGCCAAATGGTCAGTTTGGAGGGTGGAGAAAGGACACTTTAACCACAGCACCTCTTGGCTTCAACGTCTGCATCTGGCAATGGACATGACAGAACAAGCAGGACGCTGTGGCGCAGCCTGCGCTGTCCAGTGCTGTTCAGAATGCCAGGGCCGTCTCTCTTTCCCTCAGTCATCCAGAGAGGCAGGCAGGGCAGCGATGATTAACCCCTGTTTTCGGCTGAGAAAATGAGACTCAGGAGGCAGGACATTTGAACTGGCCTTAACAGACAGAGAAGGAGGAAAGGGCATTCCGGCAGAGGGGTTGGCATCACTGGAAACAGGTGATGATGTCGATGTGAGAACTGTCCAAGGGTGTGGCTGGAGCAGGAATAATAAAAACCAGGTGCCACTCCAACCGCTTTGCATAAATCTAGACATGTAATCCTCACAACAACCCCTTGAGGTAGATACAATTATGTCCCCCTTTTTCCAGCTGGGGCAACTGAAGCACAGGTAATCTTCCTGACGTTGTCCAGCTAGCAGTGAAGGAGCAGGGATGAAGCAAACCCAGGTTCCAGGGTCCACATTCCTCCTCAAGCACTTGCCCACACTGCCTGTCAAAAAGGAAGGGAGAGACCAGGCGCCGTGGCTCATGCCTATAATCCCAACACTTTGGGAGGCTGAGTCAGGAGGATCACTCAAGGCCAGGAGTTCAAGACCAGCCTGGGCAACCCAGCAAGACCTCCATCTCTACAAAAAATTTTGTAGAGATTCAGGCTAGGGCGCACTCCCGCTGTGTCCCTCCAGCTGTACCCACAGTGGGAGCTTCAGTGCCCAGGCCCAGCCTCTCTCACCACCTGCTGCCCACTGATCCCCATCTGACCCAGCCCTGCTCATCTCATCATCCCCCCTCCCACCACCACATGAGACACACATAAACCTAAATCCATGTTCCTCAAAGTCTGGCCTTTTGCCTGTTGCCCTCAGAATCCTGGGCCCACTCTGGACTCCATGAGCAGAATCACTGGAGATGATGAGGACCCCGGGCCCAGGATCCCAGATTCACACGGACTGGGAGGAGCTGAGCCCCCTGCTGCTCCATGCTCTCCCACGTCCATGAGCTCCTCCACCACTGCTCCTCCTCCATTCCCTCTCCCTCTCCCAACAACCGCCTCGCCTGGAGCTTCCACACCTTTTCCACCAGCCACTCCCTGCAGCCACTCAGCCAGCATCAAATCATACACTGGCCGAGCTTCGGATTTGCTAATAAAGGGTCCTTCATTTCTGCACAGCTCCACCTTACTGAATTTGCAGTTTCTCTAAATGGCCTCTATATTCCTTTCATGGCCAATCCTGACCTCCCTCCTACCCCCACTCCAACCCAGGGTCACACCCACCCAGCATTACCAGGTTCCACAGTTAAACCAACTCCGCCCCAGTGACTGTGTCTCTGAAAGCATAGAGAGATGTATATTACCATTACTCTAGTCCCACCATGGCAGCAGCAAGGCCCATATGGACAGGAGTCGTGGAGGAGCGGGGAGTTCCACACCTATAATCTAACCTGGAGACAGTGTCTGGCAATTTCACACCCAGCCTGCAGCCCACTCTGCAGTTCTCCCTATCTCTATTAAATACCTGACCCCTCAAACTGCCTCCCTTTTTCCTAACACAAGCTTTCTTTTCCTTCTCATCCAACCTCTCTTTTTCCCCACCTAAAGAGGGAAGGGTTTGAAAAGCTATTTCTAAAACTACTATAGAACAATAAAGCCCCTTTGAACGAAGCACACCACGTAATGAGGCTTAAACTCACTGCCAGATTCAGCATCCTGGAGCTCAACCCTATGTCATATCCTTGCTCAAAATCCCTCCATGGCTCCCCACTGCCTGAAGAGTAAAAGGACTCAACACAACCATAAAATAGCAATGGTATCCAATGTACTTGAGATGTGCATGGAAAGAATGTGGTAATAACCTGAAGGACGTAACGATAACAATAAACATAGCTAGCAATTATTGAGCACTTACTGTGTGCTTTACACACATTAATGTGTTACCCTACAGGGTTACAGTAACCTTCACCCAGCCTTGCCTGGTGGGTGCCACTATTGTCCCTGATTTAGAGTTTGGGGTTGTGCTGAGAAATGGAGCTTCCAGCAGCCCCATTTCTCAGCCACTGTGGGTGTAGCTGGGGGAGGGATACTGAGGGTGTGGGCTCTAGCCTGAGTGGAAGTGGGGGACCCTGACCCAGGTGGGGGTGAGTTTTTGGAGGGCTTGGCTAGAAGTTGGCTGTGAAGAAGGGAAGTTGGGGAAACCCAGGCCATCCTAGCTCGGGCCTGCTTTCTCCCCACTGGGCTGGAACCCCACGCTTGCCCAAGGTCCCTGCAGGCCCAGTTCTCTGGATGGTAGGCACCGCCACCCTAAGCAAACCCCAAAGTCTTTGAGAAACCCACTCAATCTTCACTGGCTGGACTGGCCTCTCTGTCAATGGACTCCCAGGGGCCCATCCCATCCCAGGAAGCACCTCCAGAGCCCTTTTCTATCCCTCTACATCCATGTCCATCTTTTCTGAAGGAAGGTATGTCCCTCACAGGTGCACAGCACTTCACAGTGTGAGGGTGCTTCGTCGAGACCTCGTATCAACCCAGACAGAGAAGCAGGGCAAAGTACATTCCACTCTGCAGACAAGGAAATCATCGTGGCTCCATATGTTACACGCACTGTTTCATAATTTAATCCTCCCTACAGCCCCTTCTGAGACTATTATCCCACTTTACAGATGAGGAAACTGACGCAGAGAAGGGCTGTAACTTGCCATGGCCCCATGTCAAGTCAGTGGCAGGACTTGAACCCAGGTCTCCCTGGGGGCATTCAGTCTCTGGAGGCCACCAATATGGCCAACTTAACCTCAGAAGATCCATCTTCCCTGCTGCTGACCATCCCAAACCTTCTGGACACCCAGCCCTCGGGGGCAGGCATCTGGCCAACCACTTGAGATGGTTCTCAGCAGCCCCTGTGGCCAGAGGCCAGAACTGCTAAGTCTGGCTCTGGCATGCTCCCCCAGCCACCACATCCCATCCTGGTCCCACAGCACCCCAGCCAGAGCTGCCCCCACAGCCCAGCCTCTCACCCCCGCCCACAGATCCAAATTTCCATTCCCTCAGCAGCATGAGCTCAGTGGGGAGGAAGGCAATCTGATTACAAGCAGTCCCGGCCTCGGGGTCGCCAAGGGTGTGGGCATCATAAAGCAGGCGCTCTGGCGGCACTGAAGAGGGGAGGGGATGGTGCAGGAAGCCCGGGATGTCGAGGCCGGGCTCTGTTACCACCGCACTGGGTGGCCTCCTGAGCCTCAGTGCCCCCACCTGGAAAGCGTGCCTTTTCATCGATCGCTGCCTTACCTAACCCTCCAGATGGCTGTGCCGCTCAAAGTGACCTTGATGAGAAGATGCTTTGGGAAACAGGAAACATGACGCAGACATGAGGAGGCTGTGTCATCACCGTCACTCTGAACCAGCTTTCCCTGAGCGCCTGCCTGGGCCAGGCCTGACGGTGGGCACTGGGCTCACGAAGAGGAGGAAACAGTCCCGGCCCCTGCAGTCTACTGCCTGGTAGGGGAGACAGGCAACAGGCGGCCACCACACAGGTGCCCAGTGCTGCATGGAGGGACACTCTAGGGACTGCAGGGACCCAAAGAAGGGGCTCTGGCCCAATCTGGGGTCAGGGCAGGTCTAGGATGGCCCTGAATGAGTTTGAAAGACCAATGGGAGTTGGCCAAATGGAGGGGGTGGGCCCTCTAGGTGAGAAACGGCAGGGGCGCTGGGGGAGGGGTGACAAGGAGAGAAGACATCAGCAAAGCACACAGCACACCGTAGGTGCTCAGAACGCGGTTGTTCTCTTCCCCTCCCCATACCTCACCCTGTGGACTCAAGTCCAAGCTTATACCTCCTCACTCCCTTTCTGCGAGCCGGCTGGCCCTGCCAGGGACCCTTTCTGCCTTCTCTTCTCAATGGGCTGCACCCAGTGTCCCTGCTGGCCCAGGAAAGCCCTGCTGACCTGACCTTCTGGGTACCAAGCTGGGCCCAGCCCATGAATTAAGCTCATGCAGAGGGGGCCCTGCTGAGGCGGCAGCACCACCCAGGAAGAAAGCCCAAGCTGGGCAGACACCGCTGGGGTCCCAGCTCCACCTCCTACAGGCTGTGTGGCCTTGGGCAGGCTGCTCAAGGGCTCGGACCTGGGACTTGGGGTAGAAGGAGTTATTACAGACTGGGCTACGTGGGGCACACAGCACAGTCCTGCACACACACTAGCAGGAGCTAAATTCTCACTATCATAGTAAATTAACGCTGCCTCAAAAAATCCAGGCTGTAGGGTCACTTGGTAAGCATGAAATGTTGCACAGGACAACGGTACTGGTACGGAAGGGTGGCTGAAAACATCGGCGGCTCCGATCGTGCCTGCAAACAGCCACTGCACTCCAGCCTGGGCAACACAGTGAGACCCCAATCTCTAAATATACGTAAATATATATACTGGCTCACTACCTCCCCAGACACTAGGGACCACGGCCAGGCAGCAAGTGGTTCCTAATAAGTCAGGGAAGGCAAGTCAATGAAAACATTACAATCCACAGTAGGCCCGCATCTGTTTAAAAAGCCCTGTGTGTGTAACGAAGCCCTGCAGGCCGACTGTCAGCTGGGGTGGGGGTGGGTTGAGGAAGAGGAAAGCCCCCAGGCTCTGCTACTCTCAGCTGCTCTGGACTGTGCGGCCCAAATCCCCACTTATGTGACCACAGGCCGTCATCTCACCTCGAGAGCTTGCAGCTCCCATGTGTAAAAGGGGAGTGAGAGGCCTCCAAGTTCATGGTGCAAGTCTAAGGGGAGGATGTGTACGAAACACTAACTGGTAGTGAAGCATGAAGGAGCGGCATGAGAGAGAAGCAGAGGTCAAGGGGAGTCACTTCCAGGCTGGGTGAGCTGAAGACTAACCAGAAGAAGGTGACAGACAGGGCACTACGGCAGCGACTTGTCTGTCCTCAGCCAGCCAGCTGGGAGCTCCCTGAAGGCAGGGACCCATCTCACTGGTGCCATGACTGCCACATAAGTAGCAGGCACCGAGCAGTGAATGTCCAGCACAGCGGAGGGCTCAGCCCGACCCTGGGCCTCTTCCCTCCACCCTGTGTCCTGGGAGGCCCCAGGTCCAGTTCAGGAAGGCAGGAGGGGCGCGGGGTGGTAGACAAGAGCTTGGAGCCCAGAGCCAGAACAAAGGAGGGGAGATGGCCTGGAGAAGTGTGCCGCACCGGGACCCAAAAACTGGCTTTTACTGAGCACCTACTGAATACAAGGGTATTGGGTTTATATACAGTGTTTCATTTAGCTCTAGCAACTACCTCTAGAAATGAAAACTCTTCATCTGTTAAGATGGATTAAGCAATGTAGCCAAGATCACTCATCTTAGGAGAGGCTCAGGTCTGCCTGACCCAGGGGCCAGGGGCCTTTCCTGGCCCTCTTTGGCCCCTAGCTGTGGGTGCCAGAGCATCTCTTGAGAATGCAGGCAGACTCGCAGTCAGCAGGCTGCACTCCAAGTCCAGAAATGTCTCCAATGCATGAAATCCCCAGGGCTTCTCCACTCCCAGCAGTTACCCCTGCTTTACAAGGTGGGACAATTCTGAAGGTTTCCCTCCCCTCAGGGAGCTGGCGAGCTCCAAGCGGTTAATGCTTTGCTCGGCACAGGCCTGAGTTTAATAAAACTAGAAGCAGCTAATGGCTAACAATAAAAAATAATATTTTTCCTTCAAGCAATTAAATTGTAATATAGATCTCACTAATTCCTTCCTGTTCTTTCCCTCGAGATCTCTGATCAAGCACCAGAAGAAATAAATTATGCATCACTATTCCCCACTTGAAACTCAAGTTTTAAGGAATCTAAGGGAGAAATATTGCCTCCTTCATTAAGGCAGAAATCTGAGGATTTTTAGAGGTTTCACGTAACAAGTTACCTTTCTGCAAACACAGGATCCACGACCCAGACCCATCTGAAAGATCGAAAAATGCACCACTTGCCCTTTCTCCAAAGAACCACAGGGTGTGAAAATTAGTCTTACCAAAGCATAGCTAAAAACTCTCCATGGCCCCCTCTACCTACAGGAAAATAAATCAAACTCCCCCACCCTCACCCCACCCGGCCATGCTCATGAGGCCCTCCAACTTTATTTCTCTCCTTCCCTCCACGTGCCCTTCCGTGCAGCCAAGCAGAGCTCACTGCTGTCCTCATACGTGCTGTCTGCTTTCCCACCATTACACTTTGCCCATGCCGCCTGGAACTCCCTTCCCGCCAGCGCTCAAGGGCCCACCTCCCACACGGAGCCTTGCCTGCCTCCCCCAGCTGGAACAGGTCATCATCCACTCTTGGAACTCCTGCAGAACTCTGTCTCTTAAAGACTTTCGCCTTTCAACCCTGGCTGACAGCCTCTCGAGATGGCCACATGAGTCTGGGCACAGAATACCTTCCACGTGGCATCCCCATACAGCCCCTCTCGAGATGCCCCTTCATTGTGCTTAGCATGGTGACCAGTATTTTTATAGGAGGTGTGTCCATATTCACTGGGTGGATTCATAAATGAATTCAATAACCACTGAGGACTACTTCTCTCAAGACCACGGGAGGGAGCTGGGAGGAGGCAGGACAAGAACTTTTGGACATTGTCTGGATAGTGGGAAGACGGTCACAGCAACAAACCCCAAGAATGACACAATAGCAGGCTCTGTAAGGAAAGTGGAGGAAAGACAGCAATGCCAACCTGAGTGGGTCACCCTGCCCAAAATCCTTCAGAGACTCCCCCTGCCTACTGGCAGAGTTGGGACTTCCTTAGCTTGGCATTCAAGGCCCTCTGAGGTTCTCACTCTGCTGCCAACTTTCATTTCCTATTCCAGTTGCTTTGCACATGCAGTTCCTCCCCACCGTTCTGCCTAAGGGACCTCTCTTCACCCTTCAAAGCATGGTTCAGTGCCACCCCCCCAAGTCCCACCCTCCTCTGGGGGCCACTGTCTGTTCTGGGGCCTCCCCTTACCCAGGCTGTGAACATTCCTGGGACAGGTTCAGGATGTGATCCACCCCCAGCAGAGATCCAACCCCTGCTCAGGGCTCGAGAAGCATCCATGGAGCTAAACTACACAGCAGAGGAGGAAGGAGAAACAGCTCTTCTGGAAGGACCTACCCATCCATCACACTCCTTCCACAGTCCAGCTAACACTTATTTAGCATATACTCGGTGCGGACACTGTCCTAAACACTTTTGCACGTATTGCCTCACTTCATCCTAGCAACAACCTAGGAGGTAAGTGCTACTACACTTTTACTGATTATTTTACAGATGAGGGAACAGAGGCACAGAGAGGTTAAGCAACTTGCTAAAGTCACAGAGCCCATAAGAGGTGGAACTGGGCTCAGAGCCAGTGGTTCTAACCGCTACAACGAACACTCTATGTAAAATACAAGGACGTGTATTGGGATGGGGACAGAGCAGGGTTATTCTAGCAACCAAAGCCCTCACGTTTGAAAACCTCCCTGTCTCCACATCCGTTTCCTGACATCTGCCCTCTTCTGTGCTGCCCAGGCCAACATTCCGAGGACTCCCCACCCCACCCACCCCAATGCCCCAGACCAGACAGCAAACAAACAGGAAACAATTAAAGAACCAACCAGAAAGTCTCATAAACTCTCCCAGGAACACGCCCTCCCAGCTTCAGTGCGAGATGTCAGAGCTGGGGAAGGACCTTAGGCCACAGCTCTGAAGACAAATGCAACAGGCAACATCCCCTCGGAACGCACTCCAGAGGATGACGCAGAAGGAGTTCCAGGCAGTGATTTTCCACCTGGAAGACTTCCGAGTCCCTGATGTCAAGGAACAGGAACAGGAGCCAACTCGAGCCTCTGCTTCTACATCCCCTCACCCTCCCCAGAAGGCAGCTTTTGACTGCAGCCTTCCCTGTAACCCATGGTTCTCTCACTTAGGGTCCAAAAAGCTGTGAGGAAGACTGGCTGCCCTGCCTAGTCAGCAGGTCATCTTCCTGGTCTGCCTTCCAAGCACGCGCCACTGCTTGTGGGCACTGGCCCCATTTCCCCATCAGGGGTGAGATATTTGTGAGCACAGAACACCAGCCCTTGGCCAAGCCAGGGACCTCTGTTCAGCCCTGCCACCTGGGTCCGGGTAGACCGAGGCTGCTGCCAGAAGAGAGCCACTTCCTGAAAGGTCCATGGGCAGAGCTTCCAGCCAGGGATGCCCTCCAGACCTGCAGCCACCTCTCCACCAGGCTTTCCCTGTGTTTCCCTGCCATAAAAACTCAGCCACTTCCACAAGCATGCCATTTCATGGTTTACGAGCCCATTGACCTAGATTATCTCATCTGACCCTCATCACGAACCTGTGCGGGCAGCACCAAACCCCACTGAGGAAATGGGATTGGAGACTGAAGTGACTTGCCCAAGGTCCCACAACTAATAATGACCATCAGAGTCATAAAAGGAGCCACCCAAGAGTAACAGTGCATGCCACACACTGCACTGTGCTATGAGTTTTACAGCCATGATTGTTTTTTGTTTTGTTTTTTGTTTGTTTGTTTTTTATTTTTATTTTTATTTTTTTTTGAGACAGAGTCTCATTCTGTCACCCAGGCTAGAGTGCAGTGGCATGATCTCGGCTCACTGCATTCTCCGCTTCCCAGATTCAAGCAATTCTCCTGCCCTGGCCTCCTGAGTAGCTGGGACTACAGGCACGCACCAACACGTCCAGCTAATTTTTATATTTTTAGTAGGGACAGGTTTCACCATGTTGGCCAGGCTGGTATCGAACTCCTGAACTCAGATGATCCACCCACCTCGGCCTCCCAAAGTGCTGAGATTACAGGCGTGAGCCACCATGCCCAGCCGATTGTTCTTGATGCCTGATCTTAGTCTGCTCAGCTGCCATGACAAAATACAAGGTCAATATCCCTTATCCAAAATGCCTGGGACCAGAAGTGCTTTTGATTTCTTTGGACTTTGGGAGATTTGCATTATACTGACCAGTTGAGCATCCCTAGCCTGAGAATCCAAAAATCCAAAGTCTGAAATGCTCCAACTGAACATCACGTTGGCACTCAAAAGTTTTGGATTTTGGAGCATTTCAGATTCCAGGTTTTCAGATTAGGGATACTCAACCTGTACCATAGAGTGGGTGCCAAAACAACAGAAATTTATTTCTCCTGGTTCTGGAAGCTGCAAGTCCGGGATCAAGATGCCAGCATGATTGGTTTCCGGTGAGAGGTCTCTTCCCAGCTTGTGGACAGCTACCTTCCCACTGTGTCCTCACATGGCAGGAAATGAGAAAGCAAGCTCTCTCATGTCTCTTCTTGTAAGGTGCTACTCCCATCCTGAGGCCCCCACCCTCATGGCCTCACCTAATCCTAATTACTTCCCAAAGGCCCCATCTCCAAATGCCATCATATTGGTGGTTAGGGTTTCATCATATGAACTGAGGGAGATATACAACCCTAAAACACAGAGAGGTTGAGTGATCAGCAAAAGGTCACAGAGCCAGAAGAAGGGCTGGGACTCAAATCCAGGCTTCCCTGACCCAAAGCCAGGACTCTGAGCTGGGATGACTCTATCAGGGGATGGCAGAGGCCACTACACGCTCAGCCAGGGTCTCAGCCCACTGTACCATGCTACCTCAAATGGGAACATCTACAGTGCGCAAGGCCCTCGGCCTGGAGGAACCAGCAGACGATGGAGTAGTCAGATGCTCCTGCTCTGGATGCGCCCCCCAGGCCACTGCCAGCCCTCACCTCCCCCTCATCACAGCCCTGTGCCACAGAGTCTCTCCTCCTCCTTTTCTCCCTGTTTTCAGGTAAGGAAACCAAGACCTAGAGGAAGGGGCAGGAATGGGAGGGTACGCGGCTCCGTGGCTCCAAAGCTCTGGGTTTCTTCCTGTGACAGCATCTGTGAAGTGCATACATCTCGGCCCAAGACAGGCTGTCAGGAAGGAAGGATGGAGGGTAACATGAACAAATGCATGGCCTCTGCTCGTGTAAATGCATGGCCTCTGCTCGTGTAAATGCATGGAGCATGCGTGAGGGTGGGTCCCAGAAGGGGTGGAGGGGTCAGATCCTGCAGGAGTTTGGTTTTTTGCTCTTCTTTTTAAATTTGAGATACAATTCACATATCACAAGATTCACCCTTTTAAAGTGCACTATTTAGTGGTTCTTACCGTATTCAGAGAGGTGTGCACCCATCACCACTATCTAATTCCACAACATTTTCATCACCCAAAAAGAAACCTGTACCCATTAGCATTCACTCCCTATTTCCCCTCCTCCCAGCCCCTGGCAACACTAATCTATTTTCTGTCTCCATAGATTTACCTGTCCAGGACATTTCATGTTAATGGATTCACATAACATACGACCTTTGTGTCTGGCTTCTTCCACACAGCATAACGTTTCTAAGGCTCATCCGTGTTGTAAGATGTCAGTACTTCATTACTTTTTATGGCTGAATAATATTCCATTGCACAGATATACCACATTTTGTTTATCCATTCATCAGCTGATAGATATTTAGGGTTGTTCCCACTTTTTGGCTATGATGAATAATACTGCTATTAACATTTTGGTACAAATTTCATGTGGGCCCATGCTTTCAGTCCTCTTAGGTGTAAACCTAGGAGTGTAGCTGGGGGGTCAAATGGTAACTATGTCAAATGGTAACCTTTCGAGGAACTACCAGACTATTTTCCCCAGCAAAAGCACTATTTACAGTCCCACCAGCAGGGAATAAGGATTCCAATTGTTCTACACCCTTGCCAACTCTTGTTACTGTCTTTTTGGTGACAGCCATTTTAGTGGGTGTGAAGTACCATCTCATTGTGGGTTAGGCAGGGTTCTGAACTCCCGACTCAGGGAAAGTCTTCTTCCCCCAAGAAGAGGAAATTTGGGATTCAGAGCCTCCCAGAGCTCCCAGCTGTCCAACGCCCTCCTCCGCTGTCAAAAGGAACACTTACTGAGAGTGCTCATGGCGTGCCAGGTACTGTCCTAAGCCCTATTGTGGCCCCATTTTACAGGTGCAGAAATTGAGGCATAGGAAGAAATGATTGCCCAAGTTGGTAAGTGGTAGAGTCAGGATTCAAATCTAAGCTAGAGTCTGGCTGCAGGGCCCTGGCTCTTAACCACCAGGACCCTCTGCCTCCTACGTAGAGACACTGCTGCAAATGCACTTTGTTTGAAAATGAAAGAACTGGGTTGGGTGTGGTGGCTCATGCCTGTAATCCCAGCACTTTGGGGGGCCGAGGCCAGTGGATCACTTTAGGTCCGGAGTTTGAGACCAGCCTGCCCAGCATGGAGAAACCCTATCTCTACTAAAAATACAAAAATTAGCCGGGCGTGGTGGTGGGCGCCTGTGGTCCCAGCTACTCTGGAGGCTGAGGCATGAGAATCACCTGAACCCGAGAGGCAGAGGTTGCACTGAGCTGAGATTATACCACTGCACTCTAGCCTGGGTGACAGAGCAAGGCTCTACCTAAAAAAGAAAAAAAAAAAAAAAAAAAAAAAAGAAAGTCCAGCTTCCTCCACAGTCAGCCCAGGCACAGAGCTGGCATTTAACAAATGTTCATGGAAGGCAGGCAGGCTTCCCGTGTCCCCCCTCCTGCATTTGCCCATGTAGGTGACTTTGATGGCAAATCCCTTTCTACTCCCCACCATCACAGCAGCAGGGTGCTGTGGGGTCAGAAGGGGCTATGGCTGGAACTCCAAGGTCACTGCTCCTCCCCTCACCAGGCTGCCTCTCCAGGAGGATGCCAAGGCTTTCTCCTCACCTGTAAAATGGGGATAAGAATAGAACCTACTCACAGGGCAGTGGTGAAGAGCAGGTGAGCTGGCACACAGAAAGTGCTCAGAACAGTGGAAGACGCAGGGCAAGCATGCAGTACACATTAGCACACATGAGCATGAAGAAGCCTCCCCCGGCATCTGCCCCCGGGTTCCAGGTAGGGAAGCTGTGGCCTCCTGGGAGAGGGTGGCAGGGGTTTCCAGATAGGGCAGGAACAGGAGAGAGAGACGGCTGACCCAGAGCCACCTGGCCACAGGCCAGAGTTTCCCTATCACTGCTCTGGGCAGGTCACACTCATAGCAACGACCTCAGATAGCAGGATGTGAGGGGAGGGGGCTGCTCTCCAGGGCAGGGGTTACGGCCACTTGACAGTCTGCCCTGAAATTCAACCCAGCCCAATTAATGAGGAACGACTGTGTCGACAAGGTCTGCCTTGGGACCTCAGCCACAGAAGACTCTGGCCACATTCTCTGCATGGCCATAAAACAAAGAGCCTACCCTGACCAGTCTGCTAACACCCACCCATAGGCCTCAGGATCTTGTCTGCAGAAACGTGGCCTGCCCACAGGGCTGTGGGAGCATGGCACTGAAGGCCACCGTGGCCTGTCCTCATGAGGGGGTTCTCCTGTCCCCCAAAAGGCCTCTGCTGAGCACCGTGGCATCAAGGCTCTCATCTGCTCAACAGATCTTCTCTGGCTTCAAAGTCGGCCAGACCCAGGCTCCCCAATCTCTGCTCTGCCACTCGCCAGCATGGGCAAGTGGCTTCAGCTCCTTGAGCCTCTGCTACATTAAATGTAAAAACTTACCCCATCCTTCCCTGGCAGGGCTCTGGTGGAAGCCGACGTTTACTGCATGTTTGGTCTGTGTTTGGCACTGTTCTATGCATTTTCTATGTGTTAACCCCACTTTATTTTCACCACCACTCTACAAAGTAGGTACTATTATTATCTCTATTTCACAGATAAGAAAACAGAGACAGAGAGGTATAAAGGAGACTCATACATGGGGCACCTGGTACAGGCCCTGGCACCTAGAGCTGCTCAAAAGCATGAGTCAGGCCAGGTGCAGTGGCTCATGCCTGTAATCCCAACATTTTAAGAGGCCAAGGCAGGAGGATCGTTTGAGGCCAGGAGTTTGAAACCAGCCTGGGCAATATAGCAAGACCCCATCTCTAAAAAAAATAAATAAAAATTACCCAGGCATGGTGATGTACAACTATAGTCCTAACTACTCAGGAGACTGAGGCAGGAGGATTGTTTGAACCCAGGATTTCAAGGCTACAGTGAGCTATGATCACACCACTGCACTCCAGCCAGGATGACAGAGTGAGACCCTGTCTCTAAAAAAAAAAAAAAAAAAAAAAGCATGAGTCCTTACTTTTCCAAATAGATCAAGGCAATAGGACAGCCCTTGACCTAAAGAGACCACAGAGCAAACTAGTCTCCAAGCAGCCCTCGACACAAACCTCCTAACCCAAGGCATTCAGAGCCCAGAGGAAGGTGCTCAGAATACTGCCTGCCTGGGCCGGGAAGGCTTTCCAGCCCCTCACTGGTAAAATTGGTGCTGAATGGGCCCATCACTACACAGACCTTCAGTAGCCTCACAACTCAGTGACCATGTCCAGCAAGACACAGGGCAGGGGGAAGCACTCCTGATCCCTCCACAACCAAAACCGCACACATTTAAGCCTCTTAGATTTTCCTATTTTAATCAAGCCTAGCCCAGAGCAACATTCTTCAATAAGAGGGATTTGTTTAGCTTGTTCTGAGAATCAGTGTTGCCTACTAAACAAACAACCCTTCTCCCTCAGTGGCACTTGTGCATTTAAGATGATATGTGGCCTTTGAAAAGTCTTCTCTCCCACTTGGAAGAAATGTTTGCCCACAGCCAATGCTGCAGAAATTGGGGTGCTCTCCCAGGACCACCGTGTCAAACAGCACCTTGCCGAATGGCACTTTCCACCAGTTCCCACCTGCTCACTCTCAGCCTACTTTCCACCCCTTAAACCAATTTATGGCAGGAATAAGGCAGGCATTAGCAATCCTGTCTTACAGATGAAGAAATCAGGGCAAAGAGAGGGGAAGTAACTTACCCAAGGACACACAGAATTAGCGGCAGGGCCATTCGCCTGCTTGTTGAGCCAGTCCCTGACCTCAGGGGGTCTTTTAATTCAGTGGACTCCCCACCTTGCACCACACACAGCCCTGCCACCCTGGGCCTGGGTGAGCAGATGAACAGTGGTGAGGAAGTGGGAGGGAGGGGAAAGGAAGGGAGAGAAGGGGTGGGGAGGGGAGTTCATTTAGGACAGAGGGAGCTTGAGGAGCGTAGTGCTGTGTGAGCCCATCGCTTTCCATCTCAGGGAGCCCAGGGTCTCTCCAAGGGAAGCCGGAGGACAGCCTGGCCATCAGCGGGGCAGACCTCAGTTTAGCCCCTGGCTCTGTGGGCTCTAGCAGCCCCCAAACCTGGGGCAAGTCACTTCCTCTCCAAGCACTGGCTCGTAGTGAGAGAGAGCAGAAGTTAAAGGAGACAACTGCTCTCTGTAACCCTCCACATGAGGCATGATGGTTGTTAGCATCACTGAATTTACAGGGGTTGCAGCTTGCCAGCTGCTTTCACAGGCACCACCTCATGGGAGGCAGAAAAGAGAGTCTCCTCCCCATTTTGCAGATGAGTAAAGTGAGGCCAGGGGAGGAGACATGAAGAGGGAGCGCATGAATTCACACCTGCCCCCAACACGTACCTAACAGCATTGCGCCAAAGAGTGAAGGAGGCATTTTGCTTTTCAGGGCTTTTCCTAGGCCTCATGCTGCCTCCTGGGAAGATCTGGCACATTCTAACTCAGTGTCGGGGCCCAGTTCAGAACTTCCACAGCTACTATCGCATTTGACTCCCACAGCTACTATGTATCATACAATGACACTGAGCCCTGGGAGGAGAGAGCCACCTGCCCAGGGTACCTCCTGGCGAGCGGCAGATACAGCCAGAGGGTAACTTCAAGCTGGCTGACTCCAAAGGCAGCGTCCCCATCCCCACAGATTCCTCCCTCACTCTGCATCTAAATAAAAACCAGGCAGTAAATCTCCAGGGAAATGGCAAGTGCTGATCAATACAGGATCTTAGAGAAAGTCAATGTTGCCAAAAGCAAACTTTTCCTCTTGGGGAGTTGGAGCGGGGAGGAATCTTTCCTTCTCTCTTCTCTGCAGCTTCTGCTCCTATAAAACAACTGGTAAGCTAGTTAGACGTCCTACTGAGACATTTTAAATATGAAAAGAAAATCCAATCTTGCTCTCATTAGTTCTCAGGTCACCTGCCACCAGGTGTGCAGAAAAGAAAAAAAAGGTGAGTTTTCTGGCTGTGCTCAGTCCTGGGTCAGCAGCTGCCAACCCCAGACTCCTTCTGAGACAACAGGAGGCAGAAGAAGGGAGGAAAGGGAAGAAGGGAGGTGAGGGGAGCCTTCCATCCCAAGCTGTTTCCACTTTTTATATTTACCCAAATCCTTTAATTAGCCTCTGCGGAAAGACTCCCAATTAGGCTAATCCTGCCACTGAGCTTTCCCATCAATGCTCCCGGGAAGTCCGAGGAAGGCCAAGGTAATATCCCAGGTCCTGGTGCAGCAGTCAGCCAGGCCAACCCTTGCTGACCATCTGCTGTCCCCACACCTCCCACCGAAGCAGCCTCGGGAAAGGCTCTGGAATCAGAAGGACTGGATTCTGCTGCCATCCTCTATGTGCAGTGACCTTGAAAAGTGCCTCAGTTTATCTTTAACAATGACAATAATATTGGCTAATGTACTCTGGGGCACACCTAAGAGATCGATACTATTATTATGCTAATTTTACAGGTGACCAAGGAAACAAGGCTTAGTGAGGTTAAGTAACTTGCCCAGTGTCAAAGACAGTGAATGACAGAGCGGGGACCTGGAAGCTTCCTACAAACTGCAGTCAACATTCTTAGCCCCATGCCATTCTGATTCCCCTTCAAGATGGTAACAGCCTCAGAGCTGTTAGGCTGACGGGCTGGTCTCTGTAGGAAAGCACTTACATGACAGAGTCTGGCACACAGTAGGTGCTCAAAAAAGATGCGTTCTTTTCCCTTCCTTCTTTCCTAGATGGTTGAGAGGAAGAGGGGCTCTTTCTGTCCTTCTTCAGACCTCTATGCAGCCTAGGTCCCTAGATGGGAAGTGGTGACAAACAGTCCTATCCCAGCAAAGGGACCGCCTGCCGCCTTCAGCATTTTCTGCAACCAGCTGAGGGGGTGACTCCACCTTCAAGGCCCCACCAGGGACCACTTCCTTCTCTCTGAACCTGGCCTTTCAAAGGGGCTTTCATTTATCGGCCTTTAATGTCTCACATGATTTAATCGGAAACACGTGCCTTGTAAATATTGTCTGTCATGTTCCATTAGGTTCACAGGGAAAAGTACAAGTCAATAAACAAAGGTTGTAGCATAAATCTACCTTGAACACATAATACCTCAAATAAGAAAATCAAAACACATGTGGCCTCTGACCCGCAGAGTTTCATGAGCAGGAACTCGGGGTATACTCAGGAACATTTCTAAATGTTCATAATTAATAGGGAAGCTGGGGCTGGTCCGTTTGCATAGTGCACGAAAAGCCCTTCAACAAAAGAATCTGCCTCACCAGCACCTGTCAAATCACAAAGTGCTCCTGGCTGGACCAAAACCTAGATTTCTCCTATGCAGAAAGACTCCTAGAGCCCCAGAAGCTTCTTTTTTAAAAGTAAGGACATTCCCCCCGACCCATTTTCCTCATATGGGGGATGCAGGAAAGGATAATAGGATAAAAGCCCTCCCTCATCCCTTCCAGTCCCCTTCCTTCCCTGGCACCTTCCCAGGCTGTTTTGAAGCCCTGAAATGGAGACAGGGGAAGAGGGGAGAAAGAAGATAAGGATGAGGTATGGGAAGTCACATAACCTAGAGCTCAAGTCCCGGCTGCCATTTAAGACCATGAGGCTGTTATCTGTGACTTGTCTGATCCTCGTCTAATAGGAAAGCAGTTAACAACAACATGTTCTGTTGCAGGATTCTTGCTATTAAAGAAATCAAAACCGGCCGAGCACAGTGGTTCATGCCTGTAATCCCAGCACTTTGGGAGGCCAAGGCGGGTGGATCATGAGGTCAGGAGTTCAAGACAAGCCTGGACAATATGCTGAAACTCTGTCTCTACTAAAAATAAAAAAATTAGCCGGGCATGGTGGTGTGCGCCTGTAGTCCCAGCTACTCGGGAGACTGAGGCAGGAGAATCACTTGAACCTGGGAGGCGGAGGTTGCAGTAAGCTGACATTGCACCACTGCACTGCAGCCTGGGTGACAAAGTGAGACTCCGTCTCAAAAAAAAAAAAGAAATCAAAACCATTTATTGATTTTTTTTTCCCAAAAAGAAATGAAAGTGAGCATTTACTATCTTATCTTTTGTACAGATAGGGTCTCAGTATGTTGCCCAGGCTGGTCTCAAACTCTTGGGCTTAAAGGATCCTCCTGCCTCAGCCTCACAAAGTGCTGGGATTACAGGCGTGAGCCACCATGTCTGGCCAACATGTATCATCTTAAATGAGATACTGGACAAAGATGGCACTCGTGTACCCCTAGTGTGTGCCCCACACACTAGGCTGGTGCTTTCAGACATGCAAAGCCATCCAACCTGATGAAGCTCTCCCCAGAGCTCTGAAAGGAAAGCAAAGCACCAGGCGCGGTGGCTCACGCCTGTAATCCCAGCACTTTGGGAGGCTGAGGCAGGCAGATCACAAGGTCAGGAGATCGAGACCATCCTGGCTAACACGGTGAAAACCTGTCTCTATTAAAAATACAAAAAAATTAGCTGGGCGTGGTGGGGGATGCCTGTAGTCCCAGCTACTCAGGAGGCTGAGGCAGGAGAATGGCGTGAACCCAGGAGGCAGAGCTTGCAGTGAGCCGAGATCGCATCACTGCACTCCAGCCTGGGCACAGCAGAGGGAGACTTCATCTCAAAAAAAAAAGAAAGGAAAGCAAAGCTAAAGACAGCTTGACAGAGTGTACTCAGTTTTCTCATAGGCCAAGTGGGGGTAGTACTTCTTCCCTGACAGGATTGTCACAAGGATTATTACTCAAAATAGTATTAATATATTCAAGAATGCCACCATGAAATATAATATTATTATGTCTCCCCTTTTAATTGAATTCATAGATCTCAGAGTCATGGTCCAGGAGATTTTGCAACTCATCTATTCCAACCCCTTCATTTGGTGGTTCTGGGACTGGGGCTGAGTGTGCACGGGACTGGTGTCGCCTAGCAAGTCAGCAGCCAGGCTAATTACCATTTCCTGGGCATCAAGAAGGCAACTCAGGAACAAAAGGCACGCTGGCACAGGTTTCAGCAGGTCCCCCAGCTTACTTCCAGGCCCATCCCCAGGCTGACCTCTGGCTTCTCCTCCCCAGGAAGTTCTCCCTGGCTGCCCCTCTGACCACCTGCAGTCCTTATGGATAAAGTGCACTCCATCCGGAACACAGCACACACTGGCAGAGCTGGGGAGCGTTATCTTTGTGCATACCTGTCTCACCTCCAACAAGGCTGCAAGCTCCCTTGGGGAGCCTGCCCGTACCCAGCACACAAGGGGCACTTACCACAATCATTATTCATTCATTTACTTGTTTACTGGCTCCTCCACTAGAATGTACACTCCATGAAGTGTGTACATTCATGGAGTACTAGTGTACTCCTCCACTAGTACACTCCATGAAGTCAAAGATTATCTATCTTGTTCACCACAGTATTTGACTTTGGGTACAGAAGGGCTCAACAACTATTTATTGAGTATATGGATTTGTTGAATAAATGAGAGTAGGATCCCTGTCCTATGCTTCTGTGTTTACAGAAGTCAGAGACGGAAGGGACTTTAAAATCAAGTCCAAGTCACTCGCTTGCCCCAGAATCTGATATAGTGCCTCGCACATATTGGGATCTTAAAAATATGCTTGTTAATTTAAATAGTATGAAGTAAATATAAATTTATATATTTACTGTATAAATATACACATATATATACATATATACATATATATACATATACATATATATATACATATATACATATATATACATATACATATATATATACACACACACACACACACACACACACACACACTTGTTGATGGTGTGAAGGTGAATGGGTTGATGGGTAAGTTGGTGATTCCTGGCAGTTAAATGGCTTCCTGGCTGGTTACATAGATGGGTGGGTGGGTTAGACAGCTGGGTTCATGAATGGGTAAATGGGCAAATGGACAAGGAGGTGTACAGATGGAAGGGAAAAACTCATTCATATTTACTCTCCGATCTGATTCATTTTTAAAGGAAAGTCAGGGTGTTGATGGGCCCTCCTTAATGTCAGCGACAGAAAGCCACACCCACTTCCATGAACCCCCCAGAGGCAGTTCCCATTCATCTCTGCATAGTGTAGTGCAGAGCTAGAGCAGAGTACATGACAGGCATGGCACAGGTCTGCTGCTCAGTGACTGGGTGGGTGGATGAAGATATGGATGTTCACACAGACGGGCATGAAGACAGAGTGGACAGCTGAATGGGTGAAAGCCTTATTGTTGGGAGACTGGTGGAGGGACAGGTACAAAGGGACATGGGAGTCCCCACAGATGTACAGGATGGGAGGGGGACACTTGTACAGAACAGGTGGGGTAAAGTACAAGTCACCAGAGACCTTTGCCCACATCACAATTTCCCTGAGGATGCATGCTGCCCACACACTGATGGTCCACCAGCTACAAACCCCAGCTGGGACTGCCCATTCAGCTTGGAAGAGGAGCCCCTTCTTTCTGAACCCCCAGAGAATCCAGGGTGCTGCCCTAGGCTCTCCCAAGCCCCCCAAACACCACCCGTCTCCATCTCTGGGGGGCTTTCCGAATCATTCCCCACCTGGAGGCATCCCCCTCTAGACTGTAAATGAAATATGCAGCCCATGGCCTTTCACATTTCACACCTAAGAGGTGGGCACGGCCGCAGGGCCATAGCGTGGAGCCCCTGGGGGCTGTGCAATACGGTGGCCCTGGTCAGACGTGTCACATCCTCTCGCATGCTTTATCTCATTCAGTCTTCATAACAAGCCTGCAAGGCAGGTGGTCTCAGACAGACGAAGAACTGCAGCTCAAAGAGGTGAAGGGACTTGCCCAAGGTCACGCAGTGAGAGGACCAGTCTTGCTGACTCCAAATCACACACCCTGTTGCTTACAAATTCCTCCAAGGTTCTGTATCATTCTTCATGGGGACAATAACACCTACTTCACAGGGAGGATGAGAAATTTTCAACAAGAAGCACCTAGAATGGTCAGTCCTACCCCTCTGCCTGCTGGGGCTGGAGAACCCCTGGGATGCACTCTCCGAGCTCCTCCTGCAGGCTCCCTGGCCCCAGGTGGCTGCGAAGCTCCAACACAGGGCCTGTCACGCTCGTGCAAACGTGGTGCCTCCCACAGACCCCCAGCACATGTGGGAAGCCAGTGCCAGGCACCCTCCCACGCATGTGAATGTTCCTAAACAGAGTAATTAGAGTGGTGTTTAGGTAACTTTTACACAGGCCCCCTAATCAGAATCACATGTGGGAAGGAGTCAGCGATGGTGGCCGAGCTGGAGGGGCTGACCAGCCCCTCCCCCAACAGAACTGCCACCCCTCTGCCTTCCTGAAGTTAAGTTTCTCTGACTACACCCACCCGTACCCCACACCCCAGGACTGAAACCACTCACACCCTATCACAGGCCAAAAGGAAAACACTGGTGGGTCCAAGGCTGAGCCACCCACCAGTACCTCTATAGTCACAGCACGGCATACCCCAAGTCAGACACAGAACCGACCTTCGGACCCTCTACTTGAACTGCCCTGTAAACCCCAGAGATGAGGAAACTAAGGAAGTAACTTGCTCATCCAAGGCCACACCAAGCGCTTGGTGATCACCACACCTGTGTGATCTTCCCAGAGCCCAGGCCTAACCATGTCCTTGCCCTGCATGGAAGCCTCTATCATTACACAGTGTACACATGTATCAGACCATCACAGTGGACCCCATCAGTATGTACAATCATCATGTGTCAATTAAAAACAAAAGAAAAAAAGAAGGTAAAACTTAAAAGGTAAATAAATAAATAAACAAATAAATAAAAGCCTCTGTGCCTTCCTGCTGCCTCCAGGTTCAAGCTGACCTGTGTCTGCTTCTCCTCCAGGTGGGGAGAGCACAGCAGGGAGCTCGGGCCCCGGGGTCCGCCAAGCTAAGTTCAGAGCACAGCTCTTTCTTTTATTAGTCCTTATGCAAGTGACTTCACCTCTCAGAGCCTTAGTCTCCTGTCAGTTAAACGGAGATCACAATAGGGAAAAGAACTGTTTCATTAGCCCAATGGAAATCTCTTGGTTCAGTGTGTGGCATGTAGCATAACCTTCACAAGTAGCAGTCATTGTTATCAGTTAACACTTTCCCAAAAGAGCACTAGCTGTGGCATCACAGAGCCATGGGTTTGGAGTCTAGTCCCTCCTCTGATTTGCTGTGTGGCCTTAAGCAAGTCACCTGGGATCTCTGGGCTTTAGTTTCCCCATTCATCTAATGGGAAGGCAGGGCCTGATGATCCCTACAGGCCTTCGCTAGCATGGGAGCCTGCGGGTCTGTGAGTCTGAGTTCTGAGAAGGAGCAGGCAATGCCCCAGCTCTGTTCTCATCCTTAGGGAGTCATTCAAGGCCCAGCACAATTTAAGTCCAATCTTCTTTTCTGGCCCATTCTGGCCACTTTCAGCCACTGTTTGATTTGAGTCCAGTTTTCATTCTGGCCCATCTCTGCTCTGGCAACACCAAATTCCTCCCCACTACCCAACATACCAGCTCTTTCCCTTCTACCAGGCCTTTGCACAGACAGTCTTTGCCTAAAGCAGTGCTTCTCAGGCTTCGACATGCACAGGAATCACCCAGAGACCCTGTGAAAATCAGATTCTGATGCAGCAGGTCTGCACTGAGGCTGAGATTCTGCATTTCTAAGAAGCTCCCAGGCCATGCCAATGCTGCTGGTCCAGAAACCACACACTAAATAGCAAGGGCCCAGAATGCCTTCCTCCCTGCTCACCATCTAGCAAAGGGCTTCCTCATCATTCAAAGCCTGGCTCCAGCAACCTGCTGCCAAGAAGCCTGAATCTGCAGGTGATTCATAAAGGCCCTGCAGGTCTCCTGTGTGTACAACTGGTAATACCTGTGCAGCTCTGGTCACAACAAACAGGCTCCAAGTCCATATCCTTATCAGGAGCCCTTTGAAGGCCGGGCCCAGCACAGGACTCGACACAGAGGAGAGGTCAGCAAGCATCCCCTAACTGAATAAGGTCACAGGCAGTGGGGTGGGTCTGAGAACCACTCCATAAGGCTGGCAGAAGTGGCTTGCAGAGCCTGCCCTCCTCCCGAGTGCCCCAGGACCTGACCATGTGAGGCTTTGTCTGGTCCTACCCAGGCTCTGA
Source organism: Homo sapiens (assembly GCF_000001405.40). Taxonomy (NCBI): domain Eukaryota; kingdom Metazoa; phylum Chordata; class Mammalia; order Primates; family Hominidae; genus Homo; species Homo sapiens. The sequence goes on from NC_000001.11 coordinate 53,712,788, forward strand.
TTTCTAGGCAGTTCAGGTGCAGGGAAGAGCCATCATCGGCGGTGGGCTACAACACGGACTCTCCTTTAACACAACGGCAAACACGGCACTGCCAGAAATAGCAGGTAAAAGGAGCCCAAATGTGAATACGGACCCAGGAAGGCAGAAACCAAGAGGAAGAAAAAACACAGGTAAAAAGTGAGGCAGAGAGAAACCAAGGTAAGATGCAGAGGGAAAAAAGAGAAAGTCAGAAATAGAGACAGTATCAAGAGAAATACCAAAAAGGAAGGAACAGAGACGTTGTAGAAAGAAGAGGTGACAAAGTATAAACGGAGACAGAGACATGCCACGACTTCAAGACCAGCCTAGGCAACATGGTGAGACCTCATCTCTTCAAGACCAGCCTGGGCAACATGGTGAGACCTCATCTCTTCAAGACCAGCCTGGGCAACATGGTGAGACCTCATCTCTTCAAGACCAGCCTGGGCAACATGGTGAGACCTCATCTCTTCAAGAGCAGCCTGGGCAACATGGTGAGACCTCATCTCTTCAAGACCAGCCTGGGCAACATGGTGAGACCTCATCTCTTCAAGACCAGCCTGGGCAACATGGTGAGACCTCATCTCTTCAAGACCAGCCTGGGCAACATGGTGAGACCTCATCTCTTCAAGACCAGCCTGGGCAACATGGTGAGACCCCATCTTTTCAAGACCACCCTGGGCAAAACGGTGAGCCCCTGTCTCTTCAAGACCAGCCTGGGCAACACAGTAAGACCTCGTCTCTTCAAGACCAGCCTGGGCAACACGGTGAGACCCCATCTCTGCCAAAAATTTTTTAAAAAAATAACTAGCTGGACTTACTGGCGCACACCTATACTCCCAGCTACTCAGGAGGCTGAGGTGGAAGGATCGCTTGAGCCCAGGAAGTTGAGGCTGCAGTGAGCTGTGATTACACCACTGCAACTCCAGCCTGGGTGATAGAGCAAGACCCTACCTCAAAACAAGAGAGAGACAGAGGCACACCAGAGAGCAAGAGAGAAGTAAAGGAAAGAGATAAAGGACAAAAGACCTTTTAAAACAGGGTGGAGATAGCTCCTAAGATGGCAGCTAACTCTCCCTGAAAGCCATTAGCTAATCCAGAGGGTATAGACAGACTGCCACAGAAGGACACCCTGGCCCCCTGAGGGCCTCACCTGTGCCCCAGCTTTAGGGTGTGTGGCTGGACAGGGCAATTTCTAACACCTTTTTCCCCATTTCCCTCCACTTTCTCCAACCTCCCCCTTCTCCTCAAAATTACTAAGTGAAGAAAGATAAGAAAGAAACCGGAAACAGCAATGGGGTTTTGTTGTTAGAAATACAAACAAGGTCCAAAGTTAGCAGGAGATGGGGATGAGCCTAAGAAATCAGAGGAACCACAAGCTCCAAGAATCGCCAACAAGTCATTCATCTTCTGAGTCTCAGCTCCTTCAGCTGCAAAATTACCAGAAGCCTCACAAGAGTGTTGAAAAGATTAAATGAGCTACATAAACATGAGAACAGCACCTGATTATAGCAGAGGGGTGCTCCATAAATGGTCACTACATTTCAACTGCAGAATGGGTTATGTAAATACCCTTTTATTGGAGTTTTGTATTAAAAAATAAAAGTACTTTTTTACCCAGTATCTCACCTGAGCCTCACCAGGAGCAGGGACATGGATTATCAACCCCATTTCACAGAAGAGAAAACAGAGATCTTACAAAAATAGCCCGCCTGGTCCTCAAGACAGTGTGAAAATTCCAGTCCACGATGGTCTGAAAGATGGTCCCCATCTTTTCCACTGTACCAGCTGCGGGCAGCATCAAAACTGGGGCTCACATGAGATTAACAAGAAATGCATTTTTTCCTACAAATAGTGGCCAAGCCTCTTTAGAGGCTGTGCCAGGCCCTGTACTGAGATGAGATGAATTAAGTGTGGCCCTGCTCCCTGGGGAGATGGACACCCAGTGTGACCATCACTGAGATGGACAGGCGCAGCAAAGGATGTGCCACCCACTTGGAGTCAGGGCCCACTGTGCAGCAAGCACTGCTTTAGGCCCTGGCAAGGTCCTGCTTCCCATGGAGTTTTCCTTCTTAAACACAAGTTTTCACTCTTTTCTTAAATTTATTTTTATTTTTATTTATTTATGTATTTATTTACTTGAGACAGAGTCTCACTCTGAAGTGCAATGGCACAATCATGCCTCACTGCAGCCTTGCCCTCCCAGGCTCAAGCAATCCTCCTGCCTCAGCCTCCCAAGTATTAGGGACTACAGGTGCATGCCACCAGGTTCACTTAGTTTTTTTATTTTTTGTAGCAACAGGTCTCACTATGTTACCTGGGCTGGTCTCGAACTCCTGGGCTCAAGCCATCTGTCTACCTCAGCCCCCCACAGTGCTGGGATTACAGGTGTGAGCCCCGTGCCTGGCCAAGTCTTCATTCTTGAGTAAAATAACACAAAGAAACTGGGTGATCAGAGAAGACCCTTCTGGGAGGTGATATGTAAGCAGAAAAGTCCAGAGTCCACCATGGGCAGGTGAGCTGGAAAAGCACACCAGGCGGAGGGAGTGGGCCATGCAAAGGCCCTAGCGCAAGGTCAGCATGGTCCAAGTGTGGCAAGAGAGGCAGAGTCATGTGGAGGACAAGCAGGGACACTGCATCTGCCTTGGAGGCCAGGGCAGAAGAACAGAGGGCGGACAGAGGGCTTTCAAAGTGACGCTGTCGAATGACTGACATCTTAAATTGCATTTACACCGGCTGCTGGGTACAGAACACAGAGAGGCAAGGGTGGCGGCTGGGAGACCAATGAGGAGACTCCTGCAACCACTCAGACCAGGCAGTGTGCACAGGTTCAGGACTGAGGCAGGGACGCCAGCAGGGGGCGGCAAGAAGGAGCTGCCGGTGCAGGGAGACAGCTAGGGCCCACCAGGAATGGTCACTGTGCCTAATGTTACTGAGAGGACGAGTGAGATGGAGGCAGACAGGGTGACCAAATCTGGCCCCATGGAGGCCGTGGAGGACCTGGCAAGAGCAGTCGGTGGACTGAGGAGGACAGAGAATGGGAAGTGAGGGAAGAAAGGCTGCAAACAGAAGTGGAGAATGGGGCGGTGGCAGGAGGGGGATTAGACGCAGGAAGGCATGGTGGCTTTGCTTTTTGAGCTGGCAGGTCCTGAAGCACAGTTATATGCCAATAGGAGTGACCCCTGGAGAGGGCGAGAGTCGCACTGCAGGGGAGGTCACTGCTGAAGCACAGTCTTCGAGGAAGAGGGAGGGTGGATGCAAAGCCCTGGGATGGTTTGGCTGTTGATAGAGGAGAGGCATTGCCAGCTCCCACAGAGGAGGGGAGGCAAGGCTTGGAGAGTACTCGCCAGAGCTCTCAACTCCCAGATACAGACTGGGCTCTTTCAGGGTTCCGTGTGTCTCCTCTAGCACCATTTGACAGACAGCTACAGGTGGTTCGATCTTAACTAGGGTAGGGGCCCAACAGTGAGAACAACAGGGGGAGAGGGAGGCAGAGGGTTGAAGGTGCTTGGGGAGGTGTAATTATAATGAACACTAAGCTAGGCAAGGAAGGAAGTGAGGACAAGTGGGTGACCAGTTGGGGAAAGGGGAGGGTCAGTAGATCTGACATCCTCGTATGGCCAGAGAGTCATCATCGGCATGTCAGGAAAACCCTCAACCTGAAAGGAGTAACAACAATCAACAAGTGGAACTCAGATGAAATGAATGGAAAACAGGAACACAGGGAATAAGGAAAAAGATGGTTTAAAATCCTAAAAATCTCCTCAGAGAGGTATGATAAGATATTGCATCCATAAATGGAGGCACAATGCCTGAAAGTGCTTTTGCAACCTAAAAATAACTAAAATAAAAAAGAAGATGGGAAAAAGAGTCAAAGAAACCCTCCAAAAACAGATCAAAAAGACAAAGAGCTAGGTATTATAAAAACATAAGAAATGTAGAGGATCAATACAGAAAGCCAAACAGGCAACTAGGGGGATTTCTAGAAACCGGCAGTAGAGAAATTATATTTAAAAAAAAGTCAAAGAACTAATACTCTGTCTAGAACTGAAGGTCATGAGTCTCCAGAAACAGTGGGCCTGCCAAGTATCTAGCCCAACGAATGGGAAAAACCCCACATCAACAGAAAATTTCAGAACACGAGAGAGAGACAGAAAATTCATAAACTATCTAGAAAAATTGATGGGGTAGAGTGGGGGAAATGCAGAGTCTAGACCAAGTATCAGAAATCATCATGGCATTGGACTTTCAGCAGCAATGTGGGAAGCTGGAAGACAATTGAATTCTCTCTTCAAAATTCTTAACAGGATCCGTCCTGATGCCAGATGGCCCAACTTCAAATCCTAGACCTGCCACTTAACAGCTGTGATCACGGCCAAGGTACTTACCTCACTGGGTCTCAGTTTCATCATCAATAAAATGGGCATAATAATAATCTCTATCACCTCTTTGATGTGAGGATGAATTAATCCACGTAAAGCAGTGAGGACAGTGCCTGGCACATGGTAAACATTTAAAGGTTCGCTCTTATTAAAATTACCCAGTCACACTATCCATCAGCAATGAAACACCTTCAGACATACATACCTACTCACCTTTCTCACCAAGCCATTGCAGGATACACTCCAGAAAATTATGGGGCTAAACCAAGAAAAAGGAAAATACAATGCAAAGGACATTTGCCTTTTTGGGGGGTGCCCAGCATCTGAACACACTTCTTCTACGGGGAAAATTACTCACCTTATAAGGCAAAACCCCCACTTCACCCAATACACACACACTCACTGAAAATGTCAGATCCTGCAGATCCTCTGTCTCTGCTTAAATGTCACCCTATCCTGACTGCACTGTAACCCAGCAGGCCTCCATCTCCCTTCACTGCTTTCTCTCTATAGTCTGCATAGCCTGTGCCATCATTTGGTAAACTTTATATTTAACTTGTTTACTTGATTACTGTGTTTTCCCCCATCTCGAATGTAAGCTTTGTGAGTACAGACATTTTTTGCCTATTTGCTTATCTTCCCAGCATCTAGAAGAGTGCCTAACTCACAGCAGGTGCTCAACAAAAATGTAAGTTAAAAAAAAAACTTGCTTTCCAAGCCTCCCATGCAGGCACATGACCTAGGCTCTGCCCATGCGAAGCATCCACCCCAGACCGTGATTCCAGAGAGATGGCTCAGGTCCACTCTGGAACAGGTGACAACAGAGAAGTCAGCTACAGCCCCCACTATAGCAGCAATGCAAGCTGTGCACCGGGGCCCAGCGGCATTTTCACTGGACAGCCCTGTGGTGGGATTTGGGATAAGGTTCTTGGCTATGCAGTTTTCCAAGCCTGGTTCTCTAGTCTTATAGAAAATTCTGAGAGCCACTCAGCATCGTTTTAATAAAATCTCTTCTCTGCCTAAATCAGTCAGTTTGTGATATATAGTAAACCAGAATCCAGGGGGCACAGGAGAGTTTTGAAGAGACGCCTCGGGAGGTCAGCAGGGTGTGAATGCACCCCTCTAAACCAGTCTGCAGTGCTGGAGAGACGGAACTGAGGGAACCTGATGCATTTGGACATTCAGGAAAGTATGATTCACAGGAATTTGACAGACTGATGGAGTATGGCGGCAAGCGGGGGAATGGTAACAGCCCCATATAAAATATAAAATATAAAACTAAGCAAATGAAAAAAGAGGTCATATGTAACCTCAGGAAAACAAAAAATTGTACTAGAAAGGAAAAGTTCTGATGGTGCATGACTTGATTTGACATCCTGTTCCAAACATAACCACCATGCTGAAAAAGTAGACTCCAGAGGGTGCTACAGAAACAGCTTTACCATCTCCAGCCCACACCACTGCCACTGTCCTTTCTAAGACTCCATCTGCAGACTTGTTCCCCATCCCCACCCCCTACTCCTAGAAAGTCTGTGGAAGTCTGGAAGTTCCCTTAACTCTGCGGATCATTCCTAGATCATAAACAATCCCCGAGACACTTTTTAGTCCCAAGAACAGTCTCATCTTAGTAATTAAAATGTCCTGTCCAGATTAACAATCTCAAGTCTGACTTTTCTGTATAATCAAACTTCTCCCCTCCCCTCAGGCCTGCCAGGTTCAGTGTCTCAGACCCCTGACTCTGTCCACTGGAGCTCTTTGGACTTGGATGCTTAGTGCCCACTGTGTTACCCTGGGCCACTTCTGTGGGGTCCTAGGGAGCTCCTCCGGTTGGCAGGCACCCGCATGCATCCCGTGGGACACTTCCAGCCTCTCTCCTCTACCTGGCAAGAAGCTCTCTTGGGCAGGATCAGTTTGAAAACGACCACTGCCCAGGTCCTTGAACACTGCCTCTGCCCCATCGTTGGCAGAAACAATGCAGCCACCTCTCCTCATTCTGCCACGAAGCAGGGGCTCCAACCACAGTCTTTCGTGTTCCGTATTTCCAGGCATGGATCAAATGCACTCACTGCTCGGCGTCCAGGGCTGTGCCCAGTTCTCTGAGTGATCCTCTTAGAGCCCTTCTCTCTTGAGTTGAGGTAAGGAAAAAGCGTTCCCTCCCTGCCCACCTGGCATGGGGGGCAGAAAACGTCAGCTTCTCAACAATTCTCTCTGAAGAAATCCTCTCTGTGGGCTCTTCCACCTCAACCCTTTCATATCCTCAAAGCGTATGCCAGTAAGGATCTCAAAATCAGAGTTTACACACCTGAAGTCCTGCTTAGGAATGTAGTGGCCAATGCCTACTGTTAAGATCCACTGTCTTAGGACTCAGCCAGACCCACAATGCCTACACTAATACCCCGTTACACGTAGTCCTAGTGGTGCACCACTTTACCCAAAGAATTGTGATGCAACTGGGGCAGGAGGAAGGAGGGAGGGGTAGTGCAAGTGAGTAAGATGGGGGTGGAGTGGGAGTTGAAAAAAACCAAATCCTCTGTGGAGAAAGGGGGATACTCAGACACTGTTGGTGGGAATGTAGGACAGACATTATGGAAAACAGTATAAAGGTTCCTCAAAAAATTAAAATTAGAGCTACCCTATGATCCAGCAATCCCACTGCTGTGCATACATCTAAAAGAAAGGAAATCAGTATATCAAAGGGGTATCTGAGACCTGGCACATTGGCTCATGCCTGTAATCCCAGCACTTTGGGAGGCTGGGGCAGGTGGATCACCTGAGGTCAGGAGTTCGAGACTAGCCTGGACAACATGGTGAAACCCCGTCTCTACTAAAAATACAAAAATTAGCTGGGCATGGTGGCATGCGCCTGTAATCCCAGCTACTCAGGAGTCTGAGGCAGGAGAATTGCTTGAATCCAGGAACCAGAGGTTGCAATGAGCCAAGATCGTGCCACTGCACTCCAGCCTGGGCAACAGAGCAAGACTCTGTATCAAAAACAATAATAATAATAGTAAAAGGATACCATCACCATTACAGCACTATTCCCAATAGCCAAGAAGGAATCAACCTAAGTGTCCATCAATAGACAAATGGATAGAGAAAATGCGGTATAAATACACTATAGAATATTATTCAGCCCTTAAGAAGAATGAAATCCTGTCATCTGCATCAACATGGATGGAACTGTGTTAAATGAAACAAGCCAGACACAGAAAGAAAAATACCGTAACTTCCTTATACTCATATGTGAGAGCTAAAAACATTGTTCTCATGGAGGTAGAGGGTAGAATGGCAGTTACTAGAGGCTAGAAAGGGTGAGGGAAGGAAAAAAAGAAGAGAAGTTGGTTAATGGGTACAAAAAGAGGCAGAAGAATAAGATCTAGCATTTGGTAGTACAGTAAAGTGACTATAGTTAACAGTAATAGTACAAAATAGCTGGAGGAGAGGAACTGGAATGTTTCCAACATAAAAGGGGGTGAATGTTTGGGGTGATAGATGTCCCAATTGCCCCAATTCAATCATTACACGTTGTATGCATGTGTCAAAATACCACGTGTGCTCCAAAAATATGTACAACTATTATGTATCAATTTTAAAAAAGAAATAAACTAGTTTCTGAGCCTGGGCAACACAGTGAAACTCCACTACTACAAAACATACAACATTATCTGGGCATGGTAGCCGGAGTCTGTAGTCCCAGCTACCTTAGAGGCTGAGGTGGGAGGATTACTTGAGCCCGGAAGGTCCAGGCTGCAGTGGGCCGAGATCACGCCACTGCACTCTAGCCTGGGTGACAGAACAAGACCCCATCTCAAAAAAAAAAAGTTTCTGGCACACAGTAGGTACTCAGTAAAAATATATTAAATGACTAAAAGGAAAACACAAAAATCACTTTTTTATAAAATACATTTTTATTTATAAATTTTTTATAAAATAAATAAAAATCATGTATTGAATGACTGAAAGGAAAAAAAAAGAGAACTAAATCTTCATCTATCATAATAGGAAGCCAGTAGACAGTAAGTATACTTGATCCAGGAACAGGAGCAGAAATCTTATTTAGGGTGGCCTAATCCCAGCTCCACCACTCACCAGCTGCGTAACCCTGGACTAGTTCCTTCCCTCCTCCACATTTATTTCTTCATCTGCAAATCGGGGAGAGTAACAGTAACTCCTTCCTAGGGCTGCTGGGAGAATGAAAGGAATTATATTTGTAAGGCACCTGAAGCAAGCCTGGACCGTAAACACCACGTAAAGTTTAGCTTCCACTGTTTTTATTTTTGTAACTGAGGTGTACAGAAGAAAATGCCAAAAAAAAAAATGACTGAGTTGAAGGCAGGGCTGTTGTGCTACCCAGGTCCACACACCTGGTGCCCCCTGAAGGTGGGCACCACAGCAGCCCTGGCCGAAGGCAGCTGCCTCTCTGGAGTGCGACAGAGGAGGAGGGGTTCTGTCTAAAGCCTTATTTTATTAGGTGATTTTAAAAACTATGTTTGGCATTATTTTGCTAAAAATAAAAGTTTATTTTTAGAATGTTAATAAAACAAGCTCCCACAAATAGTAATAATAACAAACGATGGGACGTGGTGAACGACAAAAAGAAAGCAATGAAAGAAAAGACAAAAGAAAATCTTGGAAATATGACATAAAATTCAATTTTTTATTTCAAAATCATAAAAAACTTATTAAGACAGCAGACTCATAAAAATATTAGTAACAAATATGATGAACAAAGGCATTAACATCCCTAATGACAGCACTTTAAAAATGCCAATTCTTAAATTTTATAAGTAAAATATTCAGATGCCCAACATAAACACCAATTTGCAAAAGAGGAGATAAGAACTCTGAAGCAACACACAATACCTGTTTGACTATACTAATAATCAAACAAACATATAATGAAACCAGATGTCAATTCCATCTTCAAATTAGGAAAATGTTGAAACACTGGTAAAGATACAGTTCCATGAGACAGCAATGCCTGCAGTTGTGAAAATCAGTGTACCCTTCCCAAAGAGCTATGTGGTAATATGTGTTAAATGTTACTACCCTGTAGCCTAGTAATTTCCACTTCTGGGAATCTATCCTACAAAAATAATCAGAAACGCAAATGAAGATTACTACATAAAGATATTCACTGCAGCATTAGCTTTACTGGGGGAAAGCTGAAAATTCTGAACTATTATGCACATGCAAGTAATATATATACATATTTGTTTGTATTCACATAAACTATCTCTGAGAGGCCAGACAAAAGAGAGAAGAGGAAGGCGCTCTCTAAGGACCCTTTTTGGGCCTTCCAAATTTTGGACCATTTTAATGTATCACCTATTCAAAATACTTCAACAAATTTAATAAAACGTAATATGCAGGCCAGGTGTGGTGACTCACTCCTATAATCCCAACACTTTGGGAAGCCGAGGTGGGAGTATTGCTTGAACCCAGGAATTCAAGACCAGCCTGGCCAACATGGTAAAACCCTGTCTCTACAAAAAAATTAGCCAGGCGTGGTGGCGTGTGCCTGCAGTCCCAGCTACTGGAAGGCTGAGGCGGGAAATCACCTGAGCCCGGGGAGGTGGAGGCTACAGTGAGCTGTGATTGGGCCACTGCACTCCACCCTGGGCGACAGTGAGACCCCGTCTCAAAAAAAAAAAAAAAGAGTAGGCCAGGTGCAGTGGTTCACACCTGTAATCCCAGCACTTTGGGAGGCCGAGGCGGGTGGATCACCTGAGGTCAGGAGGTCAAGACCAGCCTGGCCAACATGGTGAAACCCCATCTCTACTCAGAATACAAAAATTAGCTGGGCATGGTGGTGCATGCCTGTAATCCCAGCTACTCAGGAGGCTGAGGCGGGAGAATAACTTGAACCTGGGAGGCAGAGGCTACAGTGAGCCAAGATCGTGACACTGCACTCCAGCCTGGGTGACAGAGTGAGACTCTGTCTCAAAAAAAATAAAAATAAAAAATATGCTTCTGAATCTTTACAAAGAATGTTAATAACATAAAAAAGGTTTATTATGTTCAATGTTAAGCTTATTATTTATTTATTTACTTTTTTTTTTTTTTGAGCTGGAGTCTCACTCTGTCACCCAGGCTGGAGTGCAGCAGCTTGATCTCAGCTCACTGCAACCTCTACCTCCCATGTTCTTCAAGCAATTCTCCTGCCTCAGCCTCCCGAGTAGCTGGGATCACAGGTGCGTGCCACTATGCTCATCTAATTTTTGTATGGTAGTGACAGTGTTCGCCATGTTGACTAGGCTGGTCTTGAACTCCTGACCTCAGGTGATCCGCCTGCCTTGGCCTCCCAAAGTGCTGGGATTACAGGGGTGAGCCACCGCGCCTGGCCTTAAATTTAAATGTAAGTAATAAGACTATATTCAGAATGATCTCAATGATATAAAACTATATTAATAGACAAGCATAGAAAGAAGACTGAAAAGAAATCTACCAAAATGTAAATAGTAGTCATTACTGGGGGGTGAGATTCTGGGCAAGTATTATTTCCATCTTTCCATGTTTCTATAGTTTCCAAAGCTTCTACAGTAAGTATATAGTACTCACGTGAGTGGGAAAAAATAAAGAGTATTAAATTAAATTACCTTTAAAGGGTCAGCCACTTCCCAAAGAAGGACTAGGAGTAAAAACTCAGTAATTTGTTAAAATCCAGGAACCTACAAGAATAAATCAATATTCTGCCATTCCCGTTTAAGCTGCTGCTCAGGGCACTGTCAGCATGTTTCCATTTCCAGGGGTGAGCTGGCTCTGGGTTACCCGCTAAGGAACCAGCAGAAGCCACCCACCAGGTCTGGCCACTCAAATGCTACCTCTCATGGAAGACTGCCCTGATCTCTTTTATCAGTGCTGCCTTAAGAACACTCTGAGAATAGGACAGATCCTAGGACTCACATGTGTATCTCCAACAGGAGGCAGGACTGGTAGCCAGCATGACAGCCCCATCTCAACACTTCTATGGCCATCTGCCCACCCTCTCAACTGGATGCTCCCCAAGGTAGAGGCCAAGGATGCTAGAGACTTTAGCATGTGACAAGAGTGTCAGGAAACAGGTGAGGAACAAATGAATACATTAAAGAATGATATTTTAGACTAATGCTGTCCAACAGAACTTTCTGTGACGGAGGAAATGCTCTATATTTGCAGTTTCCAATATGGTAGCTACCAGCTAGCCATGTGTCTACTGAGCACTTGAAATGTAGCTAGTATGACTGGAAAACTAAATTTTTAATTTTATTTAATTGTAATTCATCTAAATAGCCATAGTGTTTTTGTGGAGAAGCAAACATCACAAGGTAGTTTTAAGATTAAACAAGATGATCTTTTATTTTATTTTGAGAGATAGGGTCTTGCTCTGTCACCCAGGCTGGAGTACAGTGGCTTGACTACAGTTCACTGCATCCTTGAACTCCTGGGCTCAAGTGATCCTCCCCCTCAGCCTCCCTAGTAGCTGAGACTACAGGTGCACACCATCAACCTAGCTAATTTTTAAATTTTAAAAGTAAAGACAGAGTATCACTATGTTACCCAGGCTGGTCTTGAACTCCTGGCTTCAAGCAATCCTCCTGGCTTCAAGCAATCCTCCTGTCTCAGCCTCACCACTAGCTGGGACTACAGGTGCATGGCTGTTAAGATGATTCATTTTTAAAAAGATGATTGGTCCAGTACCTAACAATGCTCAATTGATCACTGTAGGATAATGAAAAAAAATGAGGAGGAGAAAGAGGAATAGGAGGCGAGTCTCCAACAGTGCCACCTGCTCAGCCAACATCAAGCAATGGGAATTTAGTTTTCTCTACCCCACCCCAGCAAATAGCTCTTCCGTATTCTGAGTGCATAGCAGCCAGAGCCATGGAGAGAGTGGGAATGGGAAGAGTGGGGAGGGAGAGGTATGAAGCTGGGACAGGAGACACCCTGCAGACTTGCTGAAAGAGGAAAGTTGTTGGCCTGTATTGCCTGAGACAATGAGTAGGTATTCACTCCAAGAAGAAAGCTTAAGCCACCAGAATCGGCAACAGGTACAAGAAAAGGGCTGCCCAAAGCAGTCCTCAAGCCCAGGATTTAACACTCTGTGTCCACCAGTGTCCTGTAGAGGGCTGGTCTGCAAACTCAAGTTCTGACCTGTCCTAGAGTTCCCAATTGTTAGCCACCTAGAGAGCCCTTTTCCACCCTACCTCACTGATTCTCATGCTACCCTGGCCAGGGGAGTGAGCACCAGTTTCCATTCTGTGACTCAGCAGACCAAGGCTGGGTGAGACTGTCTGAGGTCATGAGGCTGAGACTGGCTGGAGAACTGGAGTCTGCCTAGGACAGACAGCAAATGATAAGGTGCTGATGCCGCACAGAGGCCTGGAAACCCGGCCAGCCTGAAGGGGGAACCTGCAAACACCGACCCTCCAGGCTGCGAGCTCCGAGGAGGCAAGGGCTCCATCTGTTGGTTCTCCATGGTGTCCCAGGGCAGAACCCAACACTGGGAGCACAGCGGGCATCCGATAAATATGGATAAACCAACCAACCACCAGCCAAACACAGGTACAGCCATTCCAGTTTTCAGGCTAATTCTACATACTTCATCCCATCTGCCCCTAACAATTGGCCAGACAGGGGTCATTCCCCCATTTTAAAAGGGGGAACTGAGTCTCAAAAATTGAGAGCCACTCTGAGTTGCTGTACTGAAAATCTGCTTCAAGAACTTCCCAAGAAGCCCCACCTTGACTGGAGAGGGGCAGATTCATCCTGCCAGGGTGCTGTGTTCTTTCTATCCTTTGCTCTATCCTCTATCAGCAAGTCAGAGATGCGTTCATGACATATCCTGCTTCCAAGAAGCCCACAGTTTCATGGGGAAGGGAAAAATGAACGCAAGCATCTGGAACACCTGACTCTTTCATGAGAGATAAATGACAAACAGCAGTCAGACAATGAAGGAAGGACGGGTTAATTCTGGCTGGAGGAGGAAGTTTTTTGACTGTGATGAGTGGGTAACATTGGACCCAAGGCCTTGATGGAAGGTCCAACAGGTGGCAAGGTGTGTAGAAGGGGCGGGTAGGTCGGCAGCTAACACCTACCAGCTCTAGAACTCCGGGCACATCATTTAGCTTCTCCAGGCCTCAGCTTTCTCATCTGCAAAATAAGGATGCTAACACCCACTGCGCAAGGAGTGAATGTAGAAAGAATTAAATGGCCTCATGGGACGTCTACTCACAGCAGGACTCAACAGATGGAAGCCACTACATTACTGCAGGGCCAGGCAGGCATGGGGACGTGGGGAACAGGGTAGTCCTGGCATCTTAGGTTTTAAGAGGAAGAATCAAGGTAATTCCTCTGGATATTGGAGTCTGACAGCAACTCCCAGCCCAATAAACTAGGGAAGAGGTGGGGGTGTGCCTCCAGACCCACTCAACAGACAACCCTCATCCTACTGGACACCACAGGCTGAACAAGCATCTTGGACTGACCCAGGGCCAGGACCTGTCAGAGAGATGCACCGAGGCAGCCCACACCCTCCTCCCTCCCCAACCTCCCCCAGCCCTAGGGGAAACCACTATGCCCACCAGCCAGACCTGCATCCTCCATCTCTGCAGCTCAAGCCTCAGTTTGACCCCAAAGTCCTTATTCTTGTAATTACACCAAAAAAGAATTAAAAAGCAGAATCTGGGAATAAAGTACTACAGTGCAGAGGAGAAACAACATCAGACAGAGTCAGGCCTGGGACCTAGCCCAGCTCTCCACTCACAAAGACTAACAACCACAGCTCACCTCTGGGACACACCTGCTGTGCACTAGCACCTGAGCTATGTGTTCTACAGGCACTCCTCTTAATCCCCCTAGCAATCCATGAGACAGGAACTATCTCCACTTTTCAAATGAGGAAGACTGAGGCTCAGAGTTCAACGAACTTGCCTAAGGCCTAGCAGGTAATGTAGTCAGGATCCAAACTCAGTTCCGACTCTAAAAGCCATGTGGCCGCCTTTGGATAAGTAACATGACCTCTCTGAACCTTAGTCTTCCCAACTACCCAAAGGGGGCTTGAATGAATAATATGATTTCTGGAAAGCTTTACAGTTTACAAAGCCCAAAATGGTGCCCAGAGAAGGGCCATGAGACCAATACATCCCCCAGGGGCTCTAAGCCTGTCCTGGAGTGGAGATCTTGGGTGTGGACACCAATCACCACCCCAGCAGGGTCACCAAGAGCTACCATCCTCTGGCTCCCAGCTCTCAATTCCAACATTTGGTCTAAGGTTCCTCTTCATCTTAGAGAAATCTGGGTGAGACGTGTAGCAACCACTCGTAGCTGCTCTTTAAGCCACAAGATGAGACGCGTGTCACAGTACTTGGGGCTTTGTCTTAAAGGGAGGATAAACATGTGACAAAAAGCGCCAATCCTGGCCAAGAGGCCAATGGTCAGTCACTGCAGGACAGTCATCAGGCCCCAAGCTCCTCCACCTGGCCCCTGGCCTGGCAGCTCCAAAGGCTTGCAACGAAAGAGCCTGCAAGCCCTGAAGCCAATCCTTCCCAGAGGGAGGGGAGAGGGAGGCCCAGCTGAGTGAGGAGACTCCCCCAGGGTCACTAGCAATCAAGGGGCAGACCTTATTTTGAAGAGCCTCAAGACAGTGTTGGAAAGAAAACATGATGGTATCTGCATGTGAGAACTCATGCAGCATTTACTGGCATCTCAGCACCATAAGACAGGGCAAGAAAAAAGAAAAAGAATTTACTGGCATCTCACATGTGTTGAGAGCTTACCATATGTTCAACCTTGCAGGAAAAACAAGAACATCAAACACAGCTCCTCCTTTACAGGCTACAGGCTCCTTGAGACTGGGCTGTACTTCATTCCCAAACTTCCTGGACACTCACTTGGAGCCAGCCCTGTGCTGGCCATACGGGGTTCAAGGATAATGACACTCTGCCCCTGTCTTCAAGGACGCATAAGTAAATAGGAAATTGCCATAGAGTATGAGCAGGGCTATGGCAAAAGGAAGGGTAATAAGAAAGGGAAGACTTCAAAGAGGAGGTGGCATTTGAGCTGGGTCTTAAAGAATCAGTAGGGTCAATCTGGTGGAATGGAAGGGAGGGAAAGCCCTTCCTAGAGGTTCTGTTTACCATTTACATGGTAGTCCTAACAATAATAATTATTATAATCCCAAGATTAATTGAGCATTTACCATGTGCCAGTCTGTTTTTTAAGCACTTATACATGTGTTAACACATTCCACCCTCACAACAGCCTTGGAGATCATTACTATTATTATCCTCATGTCACAGATAAGAAAATTGAGACCCAAAAAGCTCCCTAACTTGCCAAGGTCCCCAAGTTAGTACACAGAGCCAGGATTCGAACCTAGTGGCCTGGTTCCACACCCATGCCCTCAATCAGCACCCTATACATTTCTTATATACAAACTTCATGCCAGACTTTGTGCTGGACACAAGAATACAAAGATGAATCTTTGAATATTATCTATTTTTCCACTTGTTCCAAAAATGATTTAAGGAGGCACAAAGATGAATAAAAAGAAGCCCACAGATTATAAGAAAAGAAGGCCAGGTAAAGAGTAAATTCCAGGTCTAAGGCCGCATAAGGAAAAGTCTGCTGCCACAAGCAGACATCAGCAAGAGATGGAACTGGCCCGGCACAAAGGCCTTGAATGCCAGATCAAAGGGCTCAGATTTTTCCCATTGGCCAGCTGGCTGTCAATCTACATGCCAAGTATAATTTCACAGATCTTTAAAGCATGTACCAAGAACTATCTGTAGGACAAACTGATGTCTCTACAGATGTGTGTAGATGCTGTCGTGGTGGATAAAGTACATATCTACTTAAAAGAGCTCTTGAAATTAGCAGTTACCTAAACCTCATTAGGTATATTCTGCTTCAAGAGATACTAAAAGTATAGATGCTGTCACGTGGACAGTGGAAAGATTTTTGTCCTTATACTTAGAACATTTGGATACCCCTGCTGTCAGGGATGGGAAGTAACACAGAGGTTTTAAGCGAGAAGTTCTACGGACTTGAGGTCTGGGATTTTTGCTCCGCATCCACCCGCGGACCCCTCCTCACCAAGCCGCTCGATCTGTTTGAAATCATCCGTTTGAAGGCCCAAAGAAGAGCCTGCCTCAACGAGAAGCCCTAGCACAGAGATATTCTCACAAAGAGCGCTCCGTAAGTACAAATGACTGTTTGATCAATCATTTGGCCTCAGCGTGGGATTTGGTTAGAATTAAAGCCATCTGGCTGGGGTTGACGGGGGGTACGGAGGGAGGAGACAAGCAGGCGGGAAAAAGACCCACCCCCCTCCCCCAAAAAGCATTGTTAAAACAGGGAAAAATAGTAAAGTTCCTGCTGTTATTTCAGCCTAAGCCACTTAATCCATCAGCACATAAAGCAACTTATTTTATGACCTTTTCCCTTTAAAAAATAAATCAGAAGACGATGCCTTGAATTCACATATCTCTGAAGCACACTACTCATCCCTCCCAGTGAAATATCCTGTTTCATAAACCTTCTTCGAGATACTTGAAACTGCAGATCACTAAATGCTTTGCTTTAGGCATCTGACATTCCAGAGAATTAATATTTAAACTTATTATAGGAAAAAAGAATTGAGTTTGGTTGAAGCATGAAATATTTAATAGTGTCTCCAAATTAGAAACCCTATTTTGTTTCGCGCTGGAAATGCCACGATATTACCTGGGCTTTGCACTCAAATAAGATAAAATGCAAAGGCAGTCTTGAGATTAAACACACAATTACAGCCGTTTTCTCCAGAGAGATGGGGAGTGAGACAGGTTTGGGGAGTGGAAGTGATTGAGTTTCATTTTTACGATATGCTTAAAATTATATTATCATTCTCTGCCTTGAGGGTTGGACTTGAGACTGCTGAAGCTACTTAACCACCGAAAACGGTGTCAAAATCAGTGACTCCGCGGAGGCCTATTCTCAGGCTCTTTAAACCGTCGTCTTGGGATGGGCCCAGTGACAAGCAAAAAACTCCGTAACTTTCTCTGCTTGCTAGGACAAAAGTATTCGGTGGTTTAGGATAAAAATTAAGCTCCAACTGACACAGTGGATCCTGGCAACCTCTGCCGGCACGTGTAATTTATTTACAGGGTTGGAAAGTTGGCAAAATACATCATCAACTCTTACACAAACTTCTACTAGGTATTAAATACCCAACCCTCTGAGAAGTAATTCATATAGTCCAGCAGCGTTCCAAAATAAACCCAATCTCCAGTCCTCCGGAGAGCTTAAAACAGCAAATGGGATCTGTATTTTTCAAGTCAGGTTTATAGTACTCCCTGGTTTCTTGCTAAAGCCTGATTTCTAGCAAACCTGTTATTTAAAAACAAAGGTAACATCTAAAAGAGTAATCTGGTTGCTAAAAAGACACAAATAGGAACAGGCTGGGCTGTACGGCAGGCAGGGCCATCCCTTGTACTTCATTCACTCCCCTTCAGACACAGCGGCACGTAGGAAGGCAAAAACACCTCGGACCAGAACGGCTCCTGCAAGTCCATCTTCAGAATCAGTATGACTCCCTGAGAATGTACACATTCTCATGAATGCACGTGCAAGGCCACAGATGCAACCAGCCGTGGGACCTTTACCTTCCATAGGGGGGGTCATCTAGCTCATTCATCATTTGACACAAAAGACCCATTTCTCACAAGCAAACTCTCAAGTTCACTCTGATCCCCAGCCTGTTCTCCCTCCCAAGCCCTACTTCATCCCACCAAGTGTTTAACAAGAAATAATTGTTTAATAGATCCCTGAGCCAACATGCTTGGGGAAGCACGTATTCTATAACCAGGCATGGTGGGGATCTTGAGGAATTCTCGTCCAACAGATGTCTTTGAAAGCCATAGAGGGGAGACTACGACCGGGGCCTTGGCAAGGAATCTCCCCATATGGCAAGAAAGACTCAGACAGGGACTACTACCTGCAATAACCAGTCAGGACGGGAGTTGCCACTGCTTCTGAGAAGCGGTCCCTCCTAGGGGCCCCCTCCATGGCCTCAGAGAGTCTTTTTCCAGACCCCAGATTCCTGAGGATCCTGAGTCACTGGGAACATTCTCCTTTCCCTAGTTCTGCAGGGGGAGAGGAGCAGTGCCCTACGGAGGCAGAGTATCCCCTGTAAGTCGCACCTCAGCCTGTTGGCTGAGACTGAGAAAGGGGTGCTCTGGGATGTGGCTGTCTGGGCCCCCTGCAGCCTCCTGCTGCCTTCCTTTGGGCTTCCTTGGGGGCGCGCAGCTCTCTAGAGCCGCATCCTCTCCTTCCCAGCCGCCTGGGTTTAAGAAGCTGGTCCTGGAGAGTGGTGTATTTTCAGAGGAAAGTACTGGCTCTGCTGTCAGACAGACCTGGGTTCAAATTCCAGGCTCTGTTGCTTACTACATGCACAACCTTGGACAAATCACTTTGCCTTTCCAAGCCTCAGTCCCCCCATCTTTAAAATTAGAACAGTGCCTCCTTTCTTCCTAGGGCTGCTGGGCATAATTAAATGTGATCACGTCTCTAAAGCATCTCACCTGGCACAGAACAGCCGCTCACTAAAGGTTAGTTGACCTCCCTCTTCCCCATTCTTTCTGTGTTCATCTTTAGCAGTCAAGAGTTCCAGTGTATAACCTGGTCTGAGACAAAAGTGGCCTCTTCCTACACCCCAGATCCTTCCAAACCTTCCCAGCCCAGTCAGTGTGGAATCCTGGAGTATCAGCAGGCAGGGACTATGGATCATCCAACTGAACTGCTCTCCATTTTACAGATGGGAAAACCAAGGCTCAAAGCACAGGGCACGGCCCACTTGCAAAGATGCTACACAATGGCTCATGTGTTAGCTCCAGGCAGGCCCAACCATAACCACCAAATAAATTCAGGCCATCCAGGAAATGCGTTATTCAGTTAACAGACTAAAGGTCTCTTCTCAGCGCATCTGACTCAAATGCTAACTTTAAAAACACAGCTCGTAATGCTAACACGATCCGCCTCGATCCACCGGAAACCTACTGAAGGAATAATCCTTTGGAGTTTAAGGGGGAAAAAGGGCAAAAGAAGAAAACATGCTTTAAGTGACTTTCAACTCTGAGACCACTGGGTTAGGGTTGTATTCTCTCCACCCCTACCCAGCCCAGCCTTCGGCTTTCTTTCAGTTTCTTATAAATATGGCTTTGGGAGACCAAAGTAGCCACAAAACTACTTTTCCCCCTCTTTTCTGCTTTCCTTACTCAGTAACTCAGCTGTCAGTCCCTGGACTTTGCTTCCAATGCTGAAAGCTTTTTTTTTTTTTTCATTGTAAACTATTAATTTGGGCAGT
The DNA here is from genome assembly GCF_000001405.40 of Homo sapiens. Lineage (NCBI taxonomy): Eukaryota > Metazoa > Chordata > Mammalia > Primates > Hominidae > Homo > Homo sapiens. Next base: position 53,732,510 of record NC_000001.11, read on the forward strand.
GGCTGCTGATAAACAAGAAGTCCGTTTTTAAACTGCTAGAATCATTAGCACAGTGAAGGCGAGCAGCACAAATATTTCAGGAGTTTGGTCTTTTTTCCTGGCCCTGGTATTACAGCTGTGCTTTTTGCATAATGCAGTCCAAGTTTTCAAAGCCCACTGCAAACTTTGTTTCATTTCTTCTCCCCCTTGAACTGAATGTCTTTGTTTCTTTAAATATAAAAATAAACTACCCCCCACCAAAAGAAACCACACAATTCTCTAGGTCCAAAATAATTGCAACGGAAATCTATATTAAAAAAAAAAAAATAACAAACCACACATTATAATTTAACTTTGAATATAACCGTATATGTAAGGTGAGGTTGCTGAAATACTACCACATCGTGTTGAAAACAGAATTCTTTTCCAAGACAATTGAGAGAAGGAAGGGAAATTATCCTCAGCGATAGTCACTGGTCGACTTCCCAATAAAGTTTATTTGTTTGTTATTTTTTCCCCTAATCCTATCCAAAACAGATTGAAAACCCTGTCCCAAACTTTAGTTTCTCCCCTCTTCCAGGATACTGGCCAAACTCCACAAAGTAAAACCGAAGAAAATGATGATAATTATGCAACATTCAGAACAAAGAACATAAGAATATATTTTTTTAAGTGATTCATTGTGCACTTATGCCTGTAATGGGATTTTAACGCACTGTAAAAATAAGTGTGCTGGCTCACTAAGCTTCTCACGCAAATGAAACGCAGGGAGATGAGTAACTCTGAGATGAGGTTCATTTTGTTTTTTGTTTTTTGTTTTTCAGAAAAAGAAGGATGAAGAAAAATCATAGCATATAAAGAAATTTACATTTTTAAATCACAGATGGAGCAACATAGACTATCGATGTGATTCCACAGCTCTGAAGCTCTGCAGACCTCAGTCCAGCTAAGCACGCTACAGGTAAACTACTCAGAAACAACTAAGCCTAAATTAAATTACGATCTCACGTGATGGTCCCCTTGCCATTTTGCCCACAGAGTCCTAGCTTCTAGAAAGCTTGAGAGGCAGGAAGGGAAGAGGAATTCTAGCCGCCCGAGATTCTTAGGGAATCTTTGGGAATTATATTTCCGCTACATGTCTATAAAAGATTTGTCGGATACATAACTCTTATGACTGTAGACGCAACATGTTCCTATCTCATTTTTTACCCACACACATACTTGTTTCTCTTTGTCTCACTGAGCCTGACATTTGGCCAGCAGGTTTTTCTCCCCCTTATTTGAAACTTCATGCACTGAAAAAATTTGGATCTGATTATTTCCGGATCGCAGGACCAGCACTTTAAAATGGATGAAATGCAAGCAAATTGCCCACCGGAGCCGGAGGGGAGAAATGCTTTAAAAGTCACTCATACCTTTCTATGAGGGATGCGCTAGCCTTCCAAGGCCTCCCCAGAACATCACAGGAGCTTCTTATTCAGATGAAGAAATTCAACCAGGTGGTACCACCAAAACATCATGACTTACTGTCCACCGCCCCCACTCCGAGTCCATGCGCACAATCTACAATTCCTTTTTTTTTTTTTTCAAGTTACAAGACTGACTGCTTTTTGGCATTTACAGCCATGATGGCTGTTTTTATAACGGCGGGGTTCACATTTGTCGTGATCAACCTCTTTTTTATTGCAAGGATGCATCCAGTCTCAGTACACAGTGAAAGGGCCCAGTGAGTCACTGTAAATTAAATAGTGACCTCATTATCTGGTTTGGTGTGGGAACAGCAACTCTGGACAAATGGAATCATGTGGTAAACTATAAAGTTTTCTAACTATGGCATAGATACTAGTTACCAATTCCCAAAGATGTGAGACAGTAGAAATACCAAAAGCAAAAGACATTTTTAAATTCTCTGGGAACGTTCAGAAGGCCTTCGTGTGAATGCCAGCTCTCGGCCGCCAACACACACATGTAGAAGGTACAAGTTGTGGAACCAGAATCAAATATTTGCAGCTGGAAGCCTGGAAACTGCCACCTACTGTCTGCAGCTTTGAGCAAATCCCTGAACCTTAATGTCTGCATCTATAAAATGGGAATCACATTAATAACAGCCAGTATCTGCCCAGCACTTTACAGACTTCTACATCTGCTCCCTCACAAGAGCCCCCAAGGCAGGCAGAGCCCAGCTGGCGTGAGGGCAGACAAGAGGATGTGTGGGAACACGCTCTGAACACTGTAAAGCACCGTGCACAGAGAACAAGCGTCATCAGGCCATCACCACAAAGCTGTCCGCCTGCATAAAGCCCAGATGTTTACCTTCTTTCCTTGTCAGGACTTATAAAAGCAGAGTGTCGGGTGTTTAATAATAGGAAAGAAAAATGCAGCATCTGGCAATTTGGCTTTTCCAGCTGTTTGGAATCTGGATAAACGGGACTCTGCCATAAACAGATCATGATTCTTATTGTAAATGATGACAATGTTAGTCCATGACATCACACCATCCCAGTGCCTCCCGATTCCAGATCAAATACACAGGCCCCAGACATTTATGGATAAACTACTAGGTTCAAGAACCCACTCTCTTCCTCTGCTTAGGGACTGTCTGAGGCAGGCGGCAGAGCATCTGAAACCTGACCCCAGGCTGAGCCATACTGTCTTCTCTCCGGTCACTGGGCAGCTGTGGCCACAAAAGACCTGAAGCTTGGCACCTCTCAGCCTCCCCTGGCTAGCACACCACAGTTAGCACCCTTCACATTCAGCATTTTAAAAATGTAACCTTGCTTCCTTCTCACTCTGTCCCCTTTATCTCAAGTGTCACTGACCCTTGCATGGGCCCTGCACGAATTAATAAAAGTGCCTCCTTCTACCTTTTTAGCTTATAAGGCATTCTTACAACTCTTGTTTTATTTACCCTGCAAGGTAGGCACCATTACCTCTCACGCAAATGAAAACCCAGAGGTTGAGAATGTGAAACAGGTTACAGTAGTAATCCTAAAAATAACCAGGCACTGAGGTGGCCCTTGCACATTCTTTATCACTAATGATCTCATCAGTCTTGCGAATTAAGTCTCAGGGTAAATTTACAAACGAAGGAACCAAAGGCTCAGAAGAGTAAAATCGATTCCCCCAAGTGCCACAGATCATAGATGGTGGGGTCTCACAATTCCCAGCACAGTCAATACATATTTTTCAATTGGTATTTCTGTCTGTTTCCAATAAGCCTGAGAACTTGGAGCTAGACACCAAATATTCAAAGGGTTACATGGTCTGGGACTATTTCGGTGGGAGTAGGGGCAGTAAGAAGGTGCCGTTTCCTCGCAGCATTTTTAAGGACGCTGAAGAACTGGGGGAAAGCTGGGTTTGTCTCGGGCCACTTGGTGACTGCACTGTGAGGAAAAGCTTGCCTATAGCAACACAGAGGCCAGCAGGGAAACCTCTCCAAGCCCAGGACCCTGAGCCTTCCCTTTCTCCCTAGGCCAGGTTAGGCCAGAGCTGTGGCTTCCCTAACCACTGCCCTACACATACCAAACACTTTCCCACCTTCAGGCCTCAGTTTCCTCACCCTTCAAATGAGTGGGATACATCCCACCACAACAGCCTCACTGGGAGGCTATGAAGAAAAGTTGTGAAACCTCTTGGAAAAAAGCTTCACCAGAGAGACCAGCTTAAGGTACAAAGAAAGAGGCTCTTCCTCCCATCCCTTTATTCTCCTCTGCCCTTTCCAAATGGAATCCTGACTTAAAGATCTTTTATTTTGGACATGTTTGGGGGCGTGCGTAAAAATAACTGGGGTTAGGGGGAATGGAAGTAGGAAGATCGTACACAAAGCCCCCAGGTGAAAGGTCTCACCATAGCGTGGAACAAAGATTATGTTCGGGAGAGCTGTTTGCTAGGTCTGCAGAGAACTCGATCTTCAGAGGACAGCCATGATTTTTTTAAACACAGAACGTTGCAGGAGGGTATCTATTTAAGGGAGGATTGTGTATGGAGCGGGGCAAGCCAGGGAGCTCCCGGCAGCAAACATTACTCATGTCTCGCTGCGCAGCGCTCCTCTCTGGTAAAAGAGACCTCATATGTGTGTATTCCAGCAATAACACTCAGCAGGCATTTCCCGCCCCTCCCCACTGTATCTGTCCTTCTAAAATATTATCTCTATCCCTTGAAAAAGAGGCTGGCATCTAAAACAAGGAGATGAGAAGTAGTTCTCTCTTACAAAGTCAAGTGTTTTCTTCAAAAAAGAAAAAAACTACTTATGTTTATTTCATTTTACTAATCCCTGAACCAGGGAGTTGGGTGTTTTTGATCCACAAGGAGCTCTCAACTCTAAAAGTAGGCTGCCTACCCCTTCCGAGTTGTGAGGCTGATGCTAGGAAGTGATGCCTATAACCGTAAAACCCAAACTGTTTTTGTCTTCCTTGAGAATCATCTGGAATGAGAACCAAGAGGTTCCAAATGCAGATATAGTCAAACCCCAAAGCCTTGGTTTCCCCTAAGGGAAAAAAAAAGGGGGGAGGACGAGGACACAGCATCTTAACAATTTCTCCAATTCCTGGTTAATTATCTGTCAGCACGAAACTCATAAATAATGACTCAATAATAATTAACTGTGATGAGAAGAGCATGTTCCTGAAAATCCCAGCACCATCTCCGACTTTGAGCCCATAAGCCATACTGGGACCCCCACCTTCCCGTGGCCAGCTTCACTGGGGGACGAAGGGACTTGCCAAGGAGCTTGTGACCCAAGACTAGGCTGCCGAAGCACCAAGTACAGAAAAGCCATGTTTAAGTTAGGACGTGACTAGGCTGGATTGCTGATGCAGAAAATTTTCCATCAGGAATCCAGAAATCATCTGGTTTAATTAATTCCTCACTTGACAGATGGGGAAACTGAGGTCCCAAAAGGAGAGGGGTCTTGCTAAAGGCCTCTGGGTTTTGTCAGCTGAGGAGATTGAAATACTTCAAACTATGCCTTGAGCTGCTCAGAAACAGATACCAATATATGCGTTGCTATTCGCCCTCATGTATAATAAAATTTTGACAAGTTTCTATGCAAGCTTTATCAGAAACACACAGAAGCAAAATTATGTAAGCTGAGAGCTTTCTATAAACACATTTCCCCAAACGGGGCTAATTGAATTTAAATTAGATGCTTCGCAAAGCAGGCATACTTTCACACTGACAAGCTAGTCCCAAACAATAAGAGAGAAACTGAGGAACTCCGAAGAAAGTTCCACCAAGCTCTCCCGAGCACGCGGTGGCGACGCCGGGCAGCCCGAATCTCCACAGGAGCCGCCAGGCACGTTGGCAGGGCCGAACTCACCCTTCCCGGCGGCGGCGGCCTTGGATGGACCGTAGTCTCGGGGACTGCGGGGCCGGAGGAGGTCGTGGGCGCGCGGTGGCGGCGCAGGCGGCCGGGCTAGCAGGTCCCGCGGGCCCCTGTCCCCGCAGCCGCCGCCACTCACGGTGACCCTGAAGGCCATGTGCGCGCCGAGGCTGGCGGGGCCGCGGTCGGGGCCGGGCGCACCAGGGGCCTCCTTAGGCCTCTTGTCCGAGTGTGCCTCAGCCACCTCGCAATGCATGGCGCCGGGGCGGGGCGCACGGCTGGGGGTCGCGCCGGGCTCCTGGGGAGGGGAGACAGCACAGCCAGTTAGAATGCGGAAAGCGGCCCCCGTATTGTCCCGGGGCCGAGTTTGAGCAGGTCACTGCCCCTTCGGTGGATTGCGCGTCTTTAACATAGGTTAGCACCACGACACCTAGCCCAATCAGAGGTCAAACCCACCTGATTCCACGCAAAAGCCCCCTCGCTCAGGAGCGGTTCGCCCTTCCCTGGTGTGGGGAGGACCCCAGGCCCCCGCGCCGCGGCGCATTACCGCGAAGTCCCACCCAAATCCTCCTCCACCGAAACCAGCCTCCTTTGCACGAATGGTGAAACTGAGGCCTGGAGCGGGTAAGGCGCCTGTTCCGCGTCCCCCAGTGGAACACGGAGCCGGCGGCAACGAGGATTCCCAGAGCAGGGCTCGGGCGAAGCCCCGGAGACGGCTCCGGGTAGGTCACGGGCTGCGCGCTTCGTCGACTCTCCGGGGCCGAGCTGCGCGCAGAAGCTGGGGACCCGAACCCAAAGGCCCGAGGGAAACCCCCAGAGACTCACCCGCGACCACCCGAACCTGGAAAACAGGAGTCCCAAGCTGGGCGCTGAATCCTGCGACGCGAACCCATCACGCGCAGCCGGGACACCCACATTCCTATGCGCAGCGGAGGAATCGAGCCCGTCGCGCGCGCAAACCGGCACAGTGGGCAATGCCCACGCGGCCGCCGCCACACACCCGCACACCCGCCGAGGCACGCCCGGGGACGGACACGCCACCCACACTGCCGCTGGTCAGACGCTCAGCAGCGCACAACCACACAGTCCCACGCTCTCGCCACACGCGCGTGCGATGGGGGCCGCGACAGAGCCTCCCTCAGCCCTTCCATCAGGGGCCCCCAAACTCTCCGTTCCCCTCCGCGCTCCCTGCGCCATCCCCAAGCTGCCGGGGTTCGAGCGTCGCCGGGACGCCAGCCTCGGATCTCGGGCCCCGCACACGCCCCTCCCTCGGCCGCGGGCCGCGCCCCCTCTCACCTCGCAGCGGCAGCTGCAGATCGCTGGGCGCCCGGCTCGGCGCGCCTCCACTGGCGCAGCAGCCCCCGCAGCCGCCGCAGCCGCCGCCGCCGCCGCCGCGTCCTGCGGGGCGGTTCCCCGGGGGACGGGGGCGGGCCCGCGTCTGCCCAACAGCCGCTCCAGCCACTGGCTGGCCGCGGCCGCCCGGCTCAGGCCAATCGCGGCGCGAGGGCGGGGCATCCCCCCCTGGGGGTCTGGGCGGGGCCCGACGCGGGGCTGAGCAGAGGGTTTGACAGGCGGCGGCCGGCTGGATCCCCGCGCTGCCCGCTGTTCTCAGACGGCCGAGCCGGGCAGGACGGCGGGGCGGCGCCGCGGCGAGAGAGGCTGGGCTCGGGGGTCGGCGGAGTGCGCTGGGCGTGAGGAGTGCCGGGCTGAACCCGGCTCCCTGCCCGCCTCTCCACTAGCCCCGGGCAGGATCCTCCCTTCTCCCGGTCGGTTTTCCCCTCCGTCAGATGGGAACGACGCTGTCTGCTAACGCGAAGCGGACAGATGCGAAAGTGCTTGAAAAGTTTTCTTGCAGAATCCAACCCTCTCACTGGAGAATTTGCAGAGATTTCACAGCTAGTGGGCAGCAAATTTGGGACCCAAACCCAGGCCTCTCAGCCCACTTTCTTACGTTTGTTTTTGTGTTTTCCGCCGGAAAGAGTCCAGGGTAAAAGGTCTCAAACTCTGAAGTTAAAGATAAAAAAATGGTGCCTGATCCCAACTAGGAAATATTCCAATTGAGTCTTGGGGAATAGGCCCCCAGCACTTAGGCTTTTAGCGAGCTCCCAGGAGATCCTTACAGATCTGGGGATTGAGACCCACTCTAGGGGTCTACTCTGTTGTCCTGCCTTCTGGGATTCCCCCACAGACAGCACGCAGTGTCTCAGGGGGCCCTGCCCAACGTGTAGGAAGAGCACGGGACAAAGAACAGTAAGGCTTCACAGAGCCTGCAGGCAATGGCTCAGTTCCCCGCTCTGAGCCTGAGTCCTCCCGTGTAAAATGGCAGTGTTTGCCTAGGCCTGGTCTACCTGCCATGCCTACCGAAGGATCCAGCCAAGCCCTGAAATGGTTTCTGCATTTCACCTAGGCGCCTCCTGTGCACTGTTTGATGGTGGTCTGGGCTGGCTCCAAGGGGCCTGACTGGTTTCGAACTCCTTTGAAGTCTGGTCTCTTTGACCTTGGTCTCAAACTGGAAAATGTATATGGAGCCCTTCTGGACTACACAACATGTCAAGTTCATAGCACAGGACTCTGCACAGAACAACCGACCCCAAGCAGCATCCTCAGAATCCTGGAAAACCAGGATTTTAGAATTTCAAAATCATAAAATTGGATTTCCTATAATTTGTTTAAAATAGTATCTAACAATTAGAGTAATAATAGTAAGAAAGACTTTGAGGTTTTAGTTAGACCCACCCTCCATTCAGAGGAGAAAGGACGTGACTGGCCTGTGTCAATGTGGTGGAGGGTGGCAGAGCCCCGGGATCCAGGCTTCCTGACTCCTGGCAATGCTGTTCCTTCAGTACCAACCACTCTGCTGCTCACAGGGAGAGGGTGTAAATCAACCATGCCCATAACACACAGGCCAAGGGTTGCGCCTCACTCAGTGCCTGCACCCCCCACCACCACATACTCTTGTGGAGTCACAGCTGGTTCTGCTGCCAACAAGCCATGTGGCTCTAGACGAATGGTAACCTCACTCTGGACCTCAGCTTCCCCCCTCCAAAGGCATGAAGTTGGAAGATCTCTGGCCTTTCTAGTTCTGCTCTTCTCTTCAGTAAGGCCAGGATCCAAGTCCTCTGCCCTCCCTCCACCCCCCACAATGCCCCCCCCCGCCGCCCCGCTGCAAAACACACACACACACAACAAGCACTGCGCTGCACATTTAGTCGGGACTCTGAAAACGTTTGCTGAATGAGTCATTTAACCAACTGGACCTGAAAGCAAAGGCCCTCCAAATTTCCAGATGAAGAAACAGCTCTTTCCATTATTCTTTTGAGCACTTACCCTGGGCCAGCCCCTATACCTGAGCTAGGGACACAGAAACACAGAACCCGCCCCCTCCCCTTCCCCTCAGTGAGCTCACAGGTCCACCTGACCAAAATAGGTGGGTTTGTGAAGGCTGGCAAAGTGATGAGAAGTTTAATCTGCTCAATAAAACAGACCTCTTAAACACTGTAAATGGCAGAACCCCTTTGGAGATACTCAGAATCTAGTAGGTATATGCTTTTTTTTTTTTCCACAAAGGAAACACAAGAAACTGTTAACAGTGGTTAAGGGAATGGAGGACTGAGGGAAGGCCTGCACTTTTCATTTTTATACTTGTCTGAACTGATTTGTGTTTTCTAAGTATATATTATCCTCCCTCTCTCTCTCTTTTTTTTTTTTTTTTGTTTTCTTTTTCTTTTTTGAGACAGAGTCTCACTCCTCTGTCTGCCCAGGCTGGAGTCCAGTGGCACAATCCCAGCTCACGGCAACCTCTGCCTCCCAGACTCAAGTGATTCTTCTGCCTTAGCCTCCAGAGCAGCTGGGACTACAGGCGCGCACCACCATGCCTGACTAATTTTCGTATTTTTAGTAGACAAGGTTTCACCATATTGGCCAGGCTGGTCTCGAACTCCTGACCTTGTGATCCGCCCACCTTGGCCTCCCAAAGTGCTGGGATTACAGGCATGAACCACTGTGCCCGGCCCCTCCCTGTCTTTCAATAGGGGTTATTTGAGCAGTGGGATTATGTGCTGCATTTTTTTCCTTTATATTTTTGGTATTAAAATAAAACTCCTTAATATTTTAATTGTCAAAAACAAAATAAAGTGAAACACAGTAACCTGCTTCTCACTTTAGCAGGCTAGACAGTAATGTCTGCTTTTTACACTAACCCGTGTTACAACTCACACTCTCTTCTGCCCTCCCACAGTCTGTCTACTGGATATCTCTATCAGGATCCATCTGCAAAATCGAACATCATTTTTTCATCTCTGACGTTGCTCCTCACTCCTATGTCCCTAACTGGGTGAATGGCCCTATGGCCAACTCCCCCAGTTCAGAAATCTGAGTCATCCTCAGCCCCTCCTCTCCCATACTCCTATATCTGACTTGTCATAAATTTAACTAACAATCCTCCTCCTCTCCATCCTCACTACTACATTTCTTCCAAGTTCTTTTTGCCTCCATCCTCATCCTTCTCCTAATTAGTGATTTTCCACACTGGTCTCCTTATCAGTCTCTAAAGTATAGATCTGGCCGGGCACAGTGGCTCCCACTTGTAATCACAGTACTTTGGGAGGCCAAGACAGGAGGATCACTTGAGGCCAGGAATTGGAGACCAGACTGGGCAGCATAGCAAGACCTTGTCTCTACAAAAAATAAAATAAAAAATAGTCAGGCATGGTGGCCTGCACCTATACTATCAGCTAATCAAGAAGCTGAGGTGGAGGATCCCTTGAGTCTAGGAGTTTGAGACTGCAGTGAGCTATGATCATACCACCATACTCCAGGCTAAGTGACAGAGAGAGACCCTGTCTCTAAATAAATAAGTAAATAAATAAATAAATAAAAATATAGATCTGACCATGGCACTTCCCTGTTTAAATCTCATAGCTCCCAATGGCCATCTAAATAAAATCAAACCATTTTCTTACCCTGCTCCCACCCCTACCCTATGTTCCAAGCACCTTGGAATAGTTTTCATCTCCTAGAATCCGGAACATATATTCATGCCTTCATAGCTCTGTATATGATTTCTCCTATGCTAATATTTTCTCCCCTTATTCACCTTGCCTACTTCTTCCTATGAATCATTTCATACCCAGCCCAAGTGTCACCTTCCCACAAGCCTTCCCTGAATCCTCGAGGGGGCTATAGCTATTTTCTCCCTGCACACTTTCACAATCCTCTGCTTTATTCTATCTGAGAACTTATTACAGTTTTGTAACTGCCTGTGTAACAGCCTGTCTCCCCCCTCTAGAATGAGACCTCTGTGAGGTCAGGGGCAGCTTTTTGCCTTTCTATCTTCAGAACCTAGAAGAGATTCCTGCACAAAGTAGGTAAATATTTACTGAATGCTGATTGAATTATTAAAGACTCACCACTAATTCATTTGCTTGCCTACATTTCTAGCTAAGAGCTTCCCCACCCTATCAAGACGTCTCTCCTCACTGTCTTTGTTCAGGGGTGTAAGCATTCACTCAGCAAATGGTTGAGGTAAAAGTAGACATTTCTGTGTCTAAGGTGTCCTGTGTCCAGGAGATAGGAGGAAGGAGAAGGAAGAGAGGTGATCGATGTTACACTGCTTACCCTGCCTCTGTGTCTTGCAGCAAGGGAAGAATTAACATGGGGAACCTACCATGTACCATGGCTGACACTCTCCATATGTGACCTCACTTAATCCTGACAACTCTGGATAAAGAGGTTATCATCCCTATTTTACAGGTGAGAAGATAAAAGTTCAAAATTAAGTGACCTCCCAAAGTTCCCACAGTCAAGAGCGTCTCTGCCTCCCATACATCTATGGCCAACTGATTTTCAATAAGAGTGCCAAGACCACTCACTGAGGAAAGAATTGTCTCTTCAACAAATGGTATTGGGACAACTGGATATCCACCTGCCAAAGAATGAAGTTGGATCCCATCTCACATCATATTCAAAAAGTAATTCACAATGGACCAATGACCTAAATGTAAGAGCTAAAACCATGAAATGCTTAGAAGAAAACACAGAGGTACACACCTTTTTAAAAAATAATTTTTAGGAGTAAATCTTCTTGATCTTGGATTTGGCAGTGGATTTTTTTTTTTTTTTTTTTTGACAGAGTCTCACTCTGCTACAACACAATGGTGCAATCTGGGCTCACTGCAGTCTCAACCTCCTGAGTTCAAGGGATCCTCCCACCTCAGCCTCTCAAGTAGGTGGGACCACACACTCTCAAGTAGGTGGGACAACAGGTGTGTGCAACCATGCTCAGCTAAGTTTTTAAATTTTTTGTAGAGACAAAGTCTCACTATATTGCCCAGGCTGGTCATATATCCTGGGCTCAAGTGATCTTCCCATCTTGGCCTCTCAAAGTGCTGGGATTACAGTCATGAGCCACCACACCAGTCTGGATCTTTGATACAATACCAAAAACATGAGCAATAAAATAAAAAATAAATTAGGCTTCATCAAAATTTAAAACTTTTGTACACCAAAGAACATTATCAAAATACTGAAGAGACAACCTACAGAACGGGAGAAAATATAGGCAAATCATATATCTGATAAGGGTCTAGCCTCCAGAATATACAAAGAACTCACACGACTCAAAAACAAAAACACAACCCAACGAAAAAATAGGCACAGGAGTTGAATAGACATTTCTTCAAAGAAGATATACAAGTGGCCAAGCACATGAAAAGATGCTCAACATTATTAGCCATTAGGAAAATGCAAATCATAACCAGAATGAGCTACTAGAGAAGCTGAGGTAGGAAGATTGCTTGAGGCCAGGAGTTCGAGACTGCAGTGCTGATGATCACGTCTGTGAATAGCCACTGCACTCTAGCCTGGGCAACATAGTGAGACCCTATCTCCAAAAATTTTTTTAAATTTTTTAAATAAATAAAAACAAAACACAATAAAATATCACTTCACATCCAATAGGATGATATAACTGAATAAAAGGAATGTCTCAAGTTGAATGATGAGGAATCATAAAAAAAAATGAGTGTTGGTGAGGATGTGGAGAAATAGGAACCCTCAAACATTGCTGGTGGAAATGTAAAATGGTTCAGCCACTTTGTATTTTTTAGTAGAGATGGGGTTTCACCATGTTGGCCCTGCTGGTTTCAAACTCCTGAACTCAGGTGATCCACCCCCTCGGCCTCCCAAAGTGCTGGGATTACAGGTATGAGGCACCACGCCTGTCTGATTCAGTCGCTTTGGAAAACAGTTTGGCAATTCCTCAAAAAGTTAAAGATAAAAGTATAATATGACCCGGCAATTCCGCTCCTAGATATATAAAACTGAAAACAGGGAGTCAAACAAATACATGTACATGCATGTACACAGCAGCTCTATTTGCAATAGCCAAAAGGTGGAAACCCAAATGTTCATCAACAGATGAATAGGCAAATAAATTGTGGTTATACATACAGTGGAATAGTATTCAGCCATAAAAAGGAATGAAGTAGGCTAGGCACAGTGGCTCACGCCTGTAATCCCAGCACTTTGGGAGGCTGAGGTGGGTGGATCACCTGAGATCAGGAGTTCAAGAGCAGTCTGGCCAACATAGCGAAACCCCGTCTCTACTAAAAATACAAAAATTAGCTGGGCGTGGTGGCGGGTGCCTGTAATCTCAGCTACTCAGGAAGCGGAGGCAGGAGAATTGCTTGAACCCCGGAGGCGAAGGTTGCAGTGAGCTGATATAGTGCCACTGCACTCCAGCCTGGGTGACAGAGCGAGACTCCATCTCAAAAAAAAAAAAAAAAAAAAAAAAAAGGAATGAAATACTGATAGATGCTGCAGTGTGGATAAACCTCAAAAACATGGTAAGTGAAATAAGCTAGACACACAAAGGTCACATATTGTATGATTCCATTTATATGAAATATCCAGAATCCACAGAGACAGAAAACAGGTTGGTGGTTGCAAGGGCCTGGGGGAAGGGTCAATGTATCTGCTCAATGGGTATGGTTTGCCTTTTGGAGTAAGACAGATTTGGGGGAACTTGATAGAGGTGATGGTTGTGCAACATTGTGAATACATTAAATGCTACTCAAGTGTTCATTTTTATTTTATTATTTTATTTTATTTTATTTTATTTTATTTTATTTTATTTTTTAGAGATGGGGTCTCAGTATGTTGCCCAGGCTTGTCTTGAACTCCTGAGTTCAAGCAATCCTCCTGCCTCAGCCTCCCAAAGTGCCAGGATTACACGCATGAGCCACTACACCTGGCCTAATTGTTCACTTTTAAATGGTTAATTTTATGTTATATGAACTTTACTGCAACTACAAAACAATTAACTTAATGAAAATAAAAAAGAGTATCTGCCTGAGCCCAGAGCTAGGCTTCCTTCACTGCACTTTGTGGGCATTCACTGAGGACAGCCCATAGAATGGCATCTATAATGGTTGTGACTCTGGTGCTATCAAGCTGAGGGATGGCAAGTCACCACACTTGCATTCTGAACACTGAACCTGCCAAATAAAGATGACAATACCTGACCCACCGGAGCTTCCATAGAGACTCAATGCAAAGGTGGAAAAAGTAAAATCAAAATGAGAGATGATGATAATGATGATTAATGAAATACCCCAGTTACCTCTCCCACAATTTCTGGTGTTCATCTTATAACCTGAAGATGCACTGTCAAAAACAAAACAAAACCCTGAAGAATCCCAGTATAGAACAATAGAACACAGTCACAAAGGGCCCCTAAGGATGTTTTAGGTAAAAACTCATATGATTAGAAAATAAGAACCAATTTAAACTAGGAATGCAGGAAAACTTTCTTACCTAGCTAAAGGATATCTAACAACAACAACAACAACAACACAGAACAAAAACAATCCTCCCACCACCACCAAAACCTACAGCTAACATCACATATTTACCACTACACTTACTGTAAAGACTAAGTTCCCCAAGATCAGGAACAAGGTAAAGATTCCTGCTTTCACTATTCCTATTCAACAGCATACTAGAAGTCCCAGAAAGTGCAGTAAGGCAAGAAAAAAAAATAAAAGAATAAAAAGCATATAGGCTGAAAAGGAAGAAACAAAACTCCCTATTGGCAAGTGACATAATTGTCTATGTAGAAAATTCCATGAGATCTACGAAAAAGAAAAAACCTCCTAGAACTAATCAATTAGTTTATCAAGGTTGCAAGATACAAGTTTAATATTTAAAAGTCCATTGTATTTATATATACTAGCAATAAACACTTAGAAATTAAAATTTTTCAAAGTACCATTTATAATAGCACTGAAAAATTAGATATAAATCTAAGAAAATATGTACAGAATTTGCTGAAAACCACAAAACACTCACAAAAGAAATCAAAGAAGACCTAAATTAAAAGAAAAGGTATACTGTTTTCCTGGTTTGGAAAGCTCAATATTGTTAGGATGTCAATTTGCCCCAAATTAATCTAGAGACTCAATACAACTTCAATTGAAATCCCAGCAGGATTTTTTTGTTGTTAGTAATCAATAAGCCAACTGGAAAATTTATTTGGAAAGGCAAAGGAACTAGGATAGCCAAAACAATTTTGAAAAAGAACAGAGTTGGAGAACTCACTATCTGATTTTAAAACTCACCATAGGCCAGATGCGGTGGCTTATGCCTATAGTCCCAGCCTCTTGGGGCTGAGGCAGGAGGATCACTTGAGCCGAGGAGGTTGAGGCTGCAGTGATGAGTCCTGATAGTGCCACTGCAGTCCAGCCTGTGCAAGAGTAAGACCCTGTCTAAAAAAATATACCTCACTATAAAGCCACAGTAATCAAGACAGCGTGGTATTGGCAAAAGAATATATACAATTTAAAAGAGTCAACTTGATTATTCCTAAAAGTAGACTCTCTTCTGAATGAAACTTTAGGTTAATCAGAATCGCTCTCAAAATGGAAAATTAAATGGCTTGGGAAGCCAGGTTCTTCCCAACTCATTTCCTGTTTCTCCTCCTTTCTTCCCTCCTCATCCTGTGTTTTCTCTTACATGAGTGATGACCCCTCCAAACCAGGATCTGATGGGTTATCCCAGGCTCCTTTCTCCCTACCCGCCCCTTCAGACACCAAGGCTGTGATTCCTGCCTTCTGAGCACCTGCTCTCCACCACCACAGCAGTGGCCCTCGTGAGGCCCCATCATGTCCATCCTGAATCACGGGGCCAGCTTCCCATTGGTCTCCCTGCCTCCAGCCTGGCCCCTCCAGTCCATTCTCCCTACAGCCAGAGCAATCTTCCTAAATCACCCATCCAACCATGTGGCTCTCCTAGCTCCAAGCCTTCTCAATGCTGGGGAACTCCTTGGAGGCAGGAATTCTTTGTCACAGTAGCCTCAGGACCGAGCCCATGCGTGGTGCCCACGCACACTCAGCGAATGATGATTGAATAAATGCACGTTAATAAAGTAGATGAAGAACTTATTGAAGGAGGTGCAGGCCCTTCAAAACCTCATTCAGAGAGGTCAAAACACAATGGCTAAGAATGCAAGGAGGAGGCACCAAGGTCTGGATCCCAGCAGTCTCTATTCTCATCCAACAATATTGGTTGAATACCTACAATGTACTCAGCACTGTCCTGGGCGCCAGAGATTCATGGAGCTTCTCTGTGGACACAGAGTATTCAACTAATCATACAAATGAATGCATCATCACAAATGATAAGACCCTAAGGGAGAATGCTCCATGCTATGAGAGGGTGGGAAATGAGGAAGGGGACTGGAGGCCTGACCCCATCTATGGGGTCCAGGAAGGCTTTCCTGTGGAGGTGATCATTAAACTAGACTCTACGGCTGGGCACGGTGGCTCACACCTGTAATCCCAGCACTTTGGGAGGCCAAGGCGGGCAGTTCACAAGGTCAGGAGTTTGAGACCAGCCTGGCCAACATGGCGAAACCCCGTCTCTATTAAAAATACAAAAATTAGCCAGGCGTGGTGGCGGGTCCTGTAGTCCCAGCTACTCGGGAGGCTGAAGCAGGAAAATTGCTTGAACCCGGGCAGCAGAGGTTGCAGTGCGCCGAGATCATGCCACTGCACTCTGGCCTGGCTGACAGAGCGAGACTCTGTCTCAAAAATAAATAAACAAATAAAAATTTAAAAAATAAACTAGACTCTGTGAGGAGGAGAAGTTACTGGTTGTGGCATTGAGGGAAAGCTTTCCAGCTAGATAGAGGACGATGTCCGAAAGCCCTGAAACTAAAGGAACTAAGATCACTTCCAGGCAGCAAAAGAAGGGCAGTGTGACTGGAGCCACAGAGTGAAGGGCAGGAGGGCATCAGATGAGACTGAGGAAGGGCAAGGTCTGGATGCTAAAGGAATGAAGGATTTTACCTGGAGACTGATGATCAGATCTGTTCTGAAAATACCATTCCAAGCCAGGTACGGTGGCCAATGCCTGTAATCTTACCTACTTGGGAGGCTGAGGTGGGAGGGTCACTTAAGACCAGCAGTTCAAGACCAGCCTGGGCAACATAGTGAGACTCTGTCTCAAAAAATGATGAAAAAATGTAGCCAGGTGTCGTGGCATGCACTTGTAGTCCCAGCTAGTCAGGAGACTGAGGCAGGAGGATTGCTTGAGCCCAGGAGTTCAAGGCTACAGTAAGTAAGCTTTGATCCTACTACTGCACTCCAGCCTGGGTGACAGGACGAGACCTCATCTCAAGAAAGAAAGAAAGAAAAGGAAGGAAGGAAGGAAGAAAGGAGAGAGAGAGAGAGAGAAAGAAAGAAAGAAAGAAAAGGAAGGAAGGAAGAAAGAAAAGGCCAGGTGCAGTGGCTCACAACTGTAATCCTACCACTTTGGGAGGCCCAGATGGGAGGATTAGTTGAGCCCCGGAGTTCGAGACCAGCCTGAGCAACATGGTGAAACCCTGTCTTTACAAAAGATTTAAAAATTTAGCCAGGTGTGGTGACACACACCTGTGGTCTCAGCCACTCGGGATGCTGAGGTGGGAGGATTGCTGGAGCCCAGGAAGTCAAAGCTGCAGTGAGCCGTGATTGTGCCACTGCACTTCAGCCTGGGCAGCAGAGCGAGACCCTGTCTCAAAAAAAAAAGAAAGAAAGAAAGAAAGAAAAGTAAAAAGAAAGTAGCATTCCAGTGTCATGTGGGAAATGGGCTAAGAAAGAGGCAAGAGTAGGTGCTGAATGCACAGTCAGAAGTCCCAAAGATGAGGAGCCTGGACTCCAGGAGAAGTGGCTGGGACATAGCTTTATTTAGGAGGCAAACTTAATACACCTGGGTGATGGGAGTGAAGGGAAGCAATGTCTGGGCATCTAGGAAAATAGCAGTTTTAGGGTTTGGAACCTCCCCTGGGAGGCCCAAGGCATTCTTAGTCCTCAGTGGTGGTTTCCAGAAGCAAAGTCAACATCACCATTACCAAGTCATTAAGCTATATCTCTTCCTCATGCTCATCGCTGCAATGGCTTTTCTAGAGAAACTTTCATTGGCTCTCAGCTCATCACTGTCTTTATAGAGAAACAGAATCAGACTTACTATAATATGCATGTCAAATGCTGCTAATGAGGACAATAAGATCTGATAGCTTAAACAATTATAACGGACAATATTTGCTATAGATATGTAAGGAAGGGCCTGTTACTTATTATGGAAGCACACAGTCCCAGGCCCTGTGGCAGGTGCTTTTCCATACATTAATGCAGACAATGCTGTGTACATACAGCAATACACAGGACAGTCGTATGAACAGGGTAGTATTGTTTCCTATTACAGATGTGGAAGTGAGATCCCAAGGAGGCTAAGTGACTTGCTCAAGACCTCAGAACCAGCAAGTGGCAGAGTCAGGCTTGACCCTAAATACCACCATCTTTCCACCACACTACCACACCTCATCTCCAGCTGATCTGGACCATTCTCTGTCACCTGTCCCTTCCTCTCCTTTCCCCTAGAATGCCTTCCTGGCTGACCACTCCCATCCCAGCCCACCCAGATCTCCAAGTGGCCCCTTCTCCACTTAAGGCTTCCCCTCCCAACCAAACACCAAAAGCACAAAGCCTTCACCATAACTCCTTCCTGTGAACTGTGGAGTCATTGCCCTTCTCAGAGCACCTATTCTCTGCTGTGTTACTTACCCATTTGTGTATTTACTGTATTCCCACTAATAAACTGCAGACCCCTTGAAGGCAGGGACTTTGTATGTGTATCGAACATGTTCAGCAATTTGTGGATATGAACCCATGTACAAAATTGATTCAACAGATCAACAAGTTGGTAAATGAGGCTGAACCAAATGCATATATGGAGTAAGGAACAGAATAGTTGATTATTTTTATTTAAAATGTTTCTTATAAAATAAACAGAAGACTCATCCAGTACACACTAGTATTATGTAATTCCTATGCTGTTTTCCAGGCACATATTAAAGTCATCTAGACCTGTATCCAGAAAGCATTTTAATAAATAGAGGAATGGAATTGTATTCATGAATAAGTTTGAAATGAATTTTTCAATTAAAAAATCAGTTTTAAGACGTTTAATAGACATCTCGCATAATCCGCTCTTCAAAGACATTTTATTTCTTTTATGAAACCAAACTTACCTTACTGCATCCCAAATTCAAACACTCA
The DNA here is from genome assembly GCF_000001405.40 of Homo sapiens. NCBI lineage: Eukaryota > Metazoa > Chordata > Mammalia > Primates > Hominidae > Homo > Homo sapiens. Next base: position 53,751,404 of record NC_000001.11, read on the forward strand.
TGCAATGTTACAGTTAGAAGGGAACTTCAAAATCATTCAGTCCAATTCTTTGATTTTTCAGTCGAAATAGATAAGTGATGTGAAATCTTAGCTGAAGTTCACAGAGCTAGATAGTGCCAGAGATAAGACTAGAACTCATTATTTCCGAAACCCAACTCTCAGAGACAGCTGGAAGCCTACCTTTATATTCATCCTTTCATTTTTCTCCAGTAGCAGAACCCCAATTCTATTAATGGGTTACAATCAACCTCTAAAAGACATTTCCTAGACTCCCTTGCAACCAGATGTGGCCATGGGACCACTTTGGCCAATGAGATGCTAAGCGTTAAGTATGTGCACTTTCAGGAAGTGTTCCTAAAAGGGAGGGAGGATGCTATTTTCCCTCCCCTTCCTTCTTCCTGTTGCCTGGAAGGAAGGCATGAAGGCTGTGGTTCCAGGAGCCATGTGGGACCACAAGAGTCAGGACCACACCTTGGGGCTGGCTACGTGGAGAGCTAGAATGAGCCTGAATCCCTGATAACCTCAGGGAGTCACCATAGCCATTCTGGACAGCCTATTTCTGGATCTTCTTTTATGTGAGAAAAAAAAAATAACTGTGTCACTTAAATCACCATTATTCTGAGTTTTCATTTACATGCAGCCAGACTTAACTAACCCATCTTGCTTCCTCCATCTCACTAAATGGCAGTTCCATTCTACCAGCTGCTCAGGCCAAAAACCTTGGAGTCAATACTAGCGACTTTCTCTTTCACACTCCACAACCATTCCACCAGCAGTGCTTGTCACCTCTTCCTTCAAAATAGATCAAATCTGTCTGCATCTCACCCTGGGCCCAGCCACCATCCTCTCTCATCTGGTTACAGCAGTGGTCTCCTAACCTTCTTTCATTCTTGCCTGCCACCCACGGTCTCCAGTCTCTTTTCCACAGAACAGTCAGACTAAATTATTTCTTAAAGGTAATTCAACACATCTTACTCCTTTGCTCAGAACTTCCCAATGGCTGTCCCTGACTCGAAGCGGGAGCAAGGTCCTTCCTGTAGCCTACCTGGCCTGAGTGAGCTTGTCCTGGCCCCCATCTTGTTCACATTACCACACTCCACCTCATCCACTGCGCCTGGCCACCCTGCCCTCTTTGCTATCCCTTGAACTTATCAGGTATATGCCTGCCTTGGGACCGTTCTGTGTTTTGGAACTCACCCCTCAGGTACCTACATATTCTCTCCCTTACCTCATTCAGGTCTCTGCCCAAACATCATTTTATCGGGGGACCTTCCTGGACCACCCTATCTGAAATGGAAAACCAGCCAGGTGCGGTGGCTCATGCCTGTAATCCCAACACTTTGGGAGGCCAAGGTGAGAGGATCACTTGGGCCCAGGAGTTTGAGACCAGCCTGGGCAACATGGTGAGACTCCATCTCTACAAAAAATTAGCTGGGTGTAGTAGCATGTGACTGTAGTCCCAGCCATTCAAGAAGCTGAAGCAGGAGGATCGCCTGAGCCCAGGAGATGGAGGCTGCAGTGAGCTATGATCATGCTGTGATCACACCACTGCACTCCAGCCTGGGCAACAGAGTGAGACCCTGTCTCAAAAAATAAAAATACAAATAAAATGGAAAGCCACTCTACTATTTACTGTCTACTTGTTCCTCAGTGCACTCACCACCACATTGCATTTGTTTATATTCATTCTCTCTCCACCCACTAGAAGGGTAAGCTCATTTGTGTTGTTGACTGTTGTGTTCCCAGCACCCAGAATAGTGTCTAGCACCCTAGGCCTAGCATACATATGAATGATTGAATGAATGAGTAAATGAATGCTAAGTCTGTGCCCTTTTAACTATGTCACTTTGCCTCTAATTGGAATCCAGGTGCATTTGCTCCATGCACAAATATTACTATTGGAGCCGCTTGCTATCCCTGTGAAAGCTTGCTAAATATTTGCTGACAACAAAGATAAGCCAGCTTCTTCTTATCAGTTAACTGAGAAGATCTAAAAGGCAATAAGGTTTTCTATTCTAATAGTCATTATATCGTTAATAACAACCACAAGACATTAAACATTTTGAAATAGGAATAATGGAGAGCAGTACACCAGACAAGTTTGTAAGACTCCAGAATCCAATGTCTTTTGTGGCAGCCCCCCAAATATAAAGCCTTTTCTTTTCCTTTTTTTTTCTTTTTTATTTTTTTTGAGACGGAGTTTCACTCTTTCACCCAGGCTGGAGTGCACTGGTCTAATCTCGGCTCACGGCAACCTCCTCCTCCCAGTTTCAAGCAATTCTCCTGCCTCAGCCTCCCAAGTAGCTGGGATTACAGGCGCCCGCCACCATGCCCAGCTAATTTTTGTATTTTTAGTAGAGACAGCGTTTCACCATGTTGGCCGGGCTGGTCTCAAACTCCTGACCTCATGATCCGCCCGCCTCAGCCTCCCAAAGTGCTGGGATTATAGGCGTGAGCCACTGTGCCTGGCCAAAGCCTTTTCTTACTATTCTCATATCACCTCCTCAGTGAGAAGAGGAGGGTCAAATTGACCACTCATTGTCCAGTGACGAACACAATTGTCTTCTCTTAACACTCTAGCTTTATGGAAAATCCTGGTGGTTAATTTTAAAATACAAATAAAAGTCCACTAAAACAGATTTATCTTTTCATTCACAAACAGTCTATATCTTTTCAAGTTAAGAGGTTTTCAGTTGGCCTTGTAAACTGAAATAATAAATCTCTTAGTAAACTCTACTCACTAAAGAGGTCTTAAGCTCAGGACATTTTTTTGAAACAACGCACTCCTAATATTTGTTTTCATCTGGAGAAGGAGCAAAGCCTGACAGAACACCCCAGGTTCCATTTTCAAAGAAGACCAAGAAGCAACACCTAGCTTCTTCAAGCAGATAGTGGCTGAATTTTGAAAAAAAAAAAAAAAAAAAAAAGTCAATCTCTAAGATTTTGCTTCAAAAATACATACTCCTCTCATACATTTTTGGCGATTGCTGCTTCAAGCTGCTAAAATAGTTCTCCTTTGGGGGAAAAAAATATAGCTCTCAAGAAACTCGAGTTTGGTTTTGAAGACATATCTCCCTGTATATGAATCTGTCTCTTCTAGCTGTGTATCCTTAGGCACATCATTTCACTTCTCCTCCCCTCAAGCTCCTCTGAAGTAACCTCACAACGACCCTGGAGGATAGATTGCTGTTAAAGATAATGCCTGTAAAATGAGGAACACAGGGTCCAGCACATAGTAAGTGCTCAATAAATAGTAGTTACTGTCACTCCATAAGCAACTAGCCACACAGAAGCCTACTCAAGTCATCAGCACTTTTCAATATACTATATGCAAATAATTCATTGTGTAGAACATTTGGAAAATATAGAGAAGTATGACTAAAAAAATAACCCACCAGTACTGTGAATAAAACCTCCCCCAAACCAAAGAGAAATGGTGTGGACAGCAGACAACTTTTCCTCTAACCACTTTGAAATAGTGACCTCTGCTGGCCAGTGGAAAACACAAGCCTTCCAATCACCTCTTCCATGATTGAGCAAGGGTTGAGTGAGCCAGGCTTGGTCCTTGTCCCTAGAACAAAAACCAGGTGTTGCATTACAAGGGACAGAAATCGTCACAAGGGTTACCACGATGTAATTGGGATGTTAACAGAATTAAAGGCCAGTCTTTCCATTTGCTCATCCGCCCAGAAGATTCTTTTTTCAAGCCCCATAGTCTCTTATTTTTAAAATGTCATAATTGCATGCAAATGTTCCAGCAGAAAAACAACGCAAGGGGCATTAAAAATCAATCTTCCATGTAAGCCTCAGATTTTCCAGCATGAAGATCCAAAAGCAAAAGTGGTGACAAATGTGAGGAAAACAGAGTGAAAAAGTCAGAACGCATCATTAAGAATGTTACAACAAAAGGAGGGAAAAAAAATCTCTGGGAGCACATGTCTGATTCAGCTGGGGTGAACAGCCAACTACAAAGAAGGCTTTAAAAACCCTGCAAACTTCTTACAGATAGGGCCCAGAAATCCAATTAGGACCTAGTCAGGAGTCTTTTCTTCAAGGAGAAGTGTGCCTGATGGAGGAGGCCGCTCAAGAGACTACTGACTGGAATATTCAGATGTAAAACACATTCCCACCTCTTAAGGTAGGAAATAAAACAGAAGTTGTAAACTGGCAGTAATAGGCTATGTAGTTTAGTTTGACATTCATTGTTTTGTTTTGAATTAATTAGTTGCCAACACTTCAAAAAGGGAGATTTTGTATCGAAATGCAATTTTTTTTTTTGACTGGGTCTCACTCTGTTGCCCAGGCTGGAATGCAGCGGTGTGAACATGGCTTACTGCAGCCTTGCCTCCCCCAACCCCACCCCACCCCACCCCACCACAGACTCAAGTGATCCTCCTGCCTCAGCCTCCTGAGTACCTGGGACTACAGGCACACGCCACCATTCCCAGCTACTTTTTGTAGTTTTTGTAGAGACAAGGTTTCGCCATGTTGCCCAGGCTGGTCTCCAACTCCTGGGCTCAAGCAGTCCTCCAGCCTCGGCCTCCCAAAGTCCTGGGATTAAAGGCATGAGCCGCCTGGCCTCGTTCTTGTAAACAAATAGGGAGCTCTAGCCACACTGGGCCAGCACTCTCCCATAGCAACAACAGCAGCTGGGGCCAAGCAGCAACAGCAGCCTTCCACACGCTCTCCAGTATGCTGTTCCCTGACCAGCTGGCCTCACTCACCTCATCAATTGTCTGGCTTTTGTGAACACTTAAGTCTAAGACCCTGGGTGTGTAACAGCTCCAAGACACTGATGATGAGGAGTTCCATTCAGTCCAAACAAATATCAACTGTGTACAAGGTACTTTAATAGGCACTAGGGATATAAAGAGAAAGACACGATCCCTAAATCCAAAGAACTCATAGACCTTTGGAAAAGAGGGCAAGCCAATTCACACTAATCATACATTATGACATGTGTATTGGAAAGGTACAAAAGTGGTAAAAACTAAAGGGATTAAATCAATTTTCTAGCTTTTTGAGACACTTACCTCACTGACATCCAGCCTTTCTTCTTTTCTAACATATGCACTTAAGGGTATAAATTTCCCTCTAAGCATGGCTTTTGCTATATCTCACAAATTTCTTTCTTTTTTGTTTGTTTTGAGACAAGGTCTCACTCTGCCTCCAGGCTGGAGTGCAGTGGTGCAATCTTGGCTCACCACAACCTCCGCCTCCCAGGTTCAAATGATTCTTCTGCCTCAGCCTCCCAAGTAGGTGAGCGTCACCACCACCCAGCACATTTTTGTATTTGTAGTAGAGATGGGATTTCACCACGTTGGCCAGGCTGGTCTTGAACTCCTGACCTCAGGTGATCCACCTGCCTTGGTCTCCCAAAGTGCTGGGATTATAAGTGTGAACCACTGCATCCGGCCTCAATACGTATTTTTATTATCACTCATTGAAAAATATTTTTTCCTAACTTCTACCTATGTGATTTCTCCTTTGACCCATAGGTGATTTAAAATGTACCTTACTTTCAAAACATATGGAATGCTCTAATTATCATTTAAAATTGATCTCTACTTCAATTGCCTTATAGACACAATTTTAAATGATGTTAATCCTTTGAGACCGAGACTTACTTTATAGACCAACATATAACCAGAATTGTAAATGTTCAAGATGAGCTTGAAAAGAATGCTTGGACTCCAGTAGTTAGGTGCAGTGCTCCTCATGTGTCCCATAGGTCAACTGTGCTGACTATGTCATTCAGATATTCTACATCCTTACTGATTTCCAAAGTCTACTTCTATCAGTTACCAAGAGGTGTGGAAAATAACTTCTTTTTTTTTTTTAAATTTAGACAGAGTCTTGGTCTGTCACCTAGGCTGGAGTGCAGTGGTGTGATCTTGGGTCACTGCAACTTCTGCCTCCCAGGTTCAAGTGATTCTTCTGCCTCAGCCTCCCGAGTAGCTGGGATTACAGGTGCACACCACCAAACCGGGCTAATTTTTGTATTTTTAGTAAAGATGGGGTTTCACCATGATGGCCAGGCTGGTCTCGAACTCCTGACCTCAAATGATCAGCCCGCCTCGGCCTCCCAAAGTGCTGGGATTACAAGCGTGAGCCACCACACCCAGCCTGTTCTGTCAGTTTTTATGTATTTTTTTTTTACCAAAGCAACATACATAAAGTACACAAATTTTGCACATGCAATTCAATGAATTTTTATATGTATACACCCCCATAACTCAAATCAATATATGGACGTTTCCAGCACCTCAGAAGTTTTCCTCATGCCCTTCCACAAAGTCAATATACTGCCTCCTTCCCCATTACCACTACTTTGACTTCTATCACCATTAAATTCCACCTGTTCTCAATATGCATATAAATGTCATCATACATTAGATATTCCTTTGTGTCTGGCTTCTTTGGCTTAGTGTCTGTGAGCTCCATTCACATTGTTACATTTAGCAGTAGTTCATTCTTTTGATTGCTAAGTAACATTGCACCGTAAAAGTATAGCACACTTTATTCTACTGTTGATGAACATTTCAATTGTCTCTCATTGGGGACTATTGTGAAAACTCCTGCTTAGAGGCATCCTAGTAAACATGACTTTTGGTGGGCATATGCACTCATTTCTCTTGGACATTTACCAATTAGCAGAACCGATAGGTCACAGGGTAGGCACATGTTTAGCTTTAGTAGATATTGCCCATTTTTTCCCTCCTTCCAGCAATTATATGAGAGTTTTAGTTGTTCTACATCCTCATCAACACCCGTTATTATCAATCCTTTTATTTTTAGCCTTTGTAATGGGTGTGTATTAGTCTGTTTTCATGTTGCTCATAAAGACAAACCCGAGACTGGGCAATTTACGAAGGAATGAGGTTTAATGGAGATCTCACAGTTCCACGTGGCTGGGGAGGCCTCACAATCATGGTAGAAGGCAAGAAGGAGCAAGTCACATCTTACGTGGATGGCGGCAGGTGAAGAGAGTTTGTACAGGCAAACTCCTGTTTTTAAAGACATCAGATGTCATGAGACTTATTCACTATCACGAGAACAGCAAAGGAAAGACCCGCCCCCATGATTCAGTTATCTCCCACTGGGTCCCTCCCACAGCCCATGGGAATTATGGGAGATACAAGATGAGATTTGGGTGGGGATACAGAGCCAAATCATATCATTCTGCCCCTGGCACCTCCCAAATCACATGTCTTCACATTTCAAAACCAGTCATGCCTTCCCAACAGACCCCCAAAGTCTTAATTCATTTCAGTATTAACTCAAAAGTCCACAGTCCAAAGTCTCATCTGAGACAAGGCAAGTCCCTTCCACCTATAAGCCTGTAAAATCAAAAGTGAGCTAGTTACTTCCAAGATACAATGGGAGTACAGGTATTAGGTATATACAGCCATGCCAAATGGGAGAAATTGGCCGAAACAAAGGCCTCATGCAAGTCCCAAATGCAGTGGGGCAGTCAAATTTTAAAGCTCCAAAATGGTCTCCTTTGACGCCATGTCTCAAACCCAGGTCACGTTGATGCAAAAGGTGGGCTCCCCCAGCCTTGGGCAGCTCCACCCCTGTGGCTTTGCAGGGTACAGCCCACCTCCTGACTGCTTTCACAGGCTGGCACTGAATGTCTGCAGCTTTTCCAGGCACATGGTGCAAGCTGTCAGTGGATCTACCATTCTGGGGTCTAGAGGATTGTGGCCCTCTTCTCACAGCTTCACTAGGCAGTGCCCCACTAGGGACTCTGTGTGGGGCCTCCAACCCCACATTTTCCTTCTGCACTTCCTGAGCAGAGGTTCTTCATGAGGGCCCAACGCCTGCAGCAACCTTCTGCCTTGGCATCCAGGTGTTTCCATACCTCCTCTGAAATCTGGGTGGAGATTCCCAAACCTTAATTCTTGACTTCTGTGCACCCACAAGCTTAACACCATGTGGAAGCTGCCAAGGTTTGGGGCTTCCACTGTCTGAAGCAACAGCTTGCATTGTACCTTGGCCCCGTTTAGTCATGGCTGGAGTAGCTGGGATGCAGGCACCAAGTCCCTAGACTGCACATAGCAGAGGGAGCCTAAGCCTGGCTCACGAAACCATTTTTTCCTTCTAAATCTCCAGGCCTGTGATGGGAGGGGCTGCCACAAAGATCTCTGACATGCCCTGGAAACATTTTCTTCATTGTCTTGGGGATTAACATTTGGCTTCTCATTATGCACATTTCTCCATCCAGCTAGAATTTCTCCTCAAAAAATGGGATTTTCTTTTCTATCACATTGTCAGGCTGCAAATTTTCCAAACTTTTATGCTCTGTGTTCCTTTTAAAACTGAATGCCTTTAACAGAACCCAAGTAACCTCTTGAATGCTTTGCTGCTTAGACATTTCTTCCACTGGCTGGGCATGGTGGCTCATACCTGTAATCCCAGCACTTTGGGAGGCCGAGGTGGGTAGAATCACCTGCGGTCAGGAGTTACAGACCAGCCAGACCCATATGGTGAAAACCTGTCTCTACTAAAATTACAAAAATTAGCCAGGCATGGTGGCGTGTGCCTGTAGTCCCAGCTACTTGGGAGGCTGAGGCAGGAAAATCACTTGAACCCAGAAGGTGAAGGCTGCAGTGAGCCGAGATCATGAGACTGCACTCCAGCCTGGGTAACACAGCAAGACTCCCTCTCGAAAAAAAAAAAAGAAGAAATTTCTTCCACCAGATACCCTAAATAATCTCTCTCAAGTTCAAAGTTTCACAAATCTCGAAGGCAGGGGCAAAATGCCACCAGTCTCTTTGCTAAAACATAAGAAGAGTCACTTTTGCTCCAGTTCCCAACAAGTTCCTCATTTCCATCTGAGACCACCTCAGCCTGGGCTATATCGTCCATATCACTATCAACATTTTGGGCAAAGCCATTCAACAAGTCTCAAGTAAGTTCCAAACTGTCCCACATTTTCCTGTCTTCTTCTGAACCCTCCAAACTGTTCTAACCCCTGCCTGTTACCCAGTTCCAAAGTCACTTCCACATTTTCAGGTATCTTTTCAGCACCTCACTCTACTGGTACCAATTTACTGTATTAATCTGTTTTCATGCTGTTGATAAAGACAAACCCGAGACTGGGCAATTTACAAAGGAAAGAGGCTTAATGGAGAACTCACAGTTCCATGTCGCTGGGGGAGCCTCACAATCCTGGTGGAAGGCAAGGAGGAGCAAGTCACATCTTAGGTGGATGGCGGCAGGCAAAGAGAGAGCTTGTGGAGATAAACTCCTGTCTTTAAAGCCCTCAGATGTCACGTGACTCATTCACTATCACAAGAACAGCACAGGAAAGACCTGCTCTATGATTCAATTATCTCCCACTGGGTCCCTCCCGTAACACGTGAGAATTATGGGAGCTACAAGATGAGATTTGGGTGGAGACACAGAGCCAACCGTATCAGGGTATGTAGTGGTGTCTCATTACATTTTAAGTTTGTATTTTCCTAATAACTAAGGGTGCTTATTTCTCTTACAGGCCATTGGGATAAACTCTTTTGAAGCATCTGTTCATCTTTTGCCCATACTGCTTTATGTACTTAGAGGTTACAGAAGTTGCATTAACATTTAGAACTGTATCATATTGGCCAGGCACAGTGGCTCACGCCTGTAATCCCAGCACTTTGGGAGGCTGAGGCGGGCAGATCACGAGGTCAGGAGATCGAGACCATCCTGGCTAACACAGTGAAACCCTGTCTCTACTAAAAATAAAAAAAAAAATTAGCCGGGCATGGTGGTGGGCGCCAGTAGTCCCAGCTACTCGGGAGGCTGAGGCAGAAGAATGGCGTGAACTCAGGAGGCGGAGCTTGCAGTGAGCCGAGATTGTGCCACTGCACTCCAGCCTGGGCAACAGAGCAAGACTCCGTCTCAACAAAAGAAAAAAAAAAAAGAACTGTATCATATTAAATGAACCTTTTTTAAAAAATCTTTTATTATTTTGAGGTGTCCCTATTTATCTCTAGTAAGGCTTTCTGTCTTAAAGTGTACTTTGTCAAAAACTTACATAGCTATACCAGCTTTCATTTAGTGTTTGCATGTTTATCTTTTCCTATCCTTTTACTTTCAACGTATCTATCCTTATAATGAAATCTCTCAGCTATTGTTGAAATCTCTCAGGTATTGTTTGTCTGAAAAAAAAGTCTTTATTTCCCCACCATTTTAAAAGATTAATGCTGGGTATAAAATTCTAGGTTAGTAGAGTCCTTTCGGCACTTTAAAATGTCCATTTCGTTGTCTTCAGTTGTTTTTGTTGAGAATTGCTGCTCATTTGAAAGTGGCCTTTGGCCAGGCACAATGGCTTACACCTGTAATCCCAGCACTTTGGGAGGCAGAGGCGGGATCACTTGAGCCCAGGAGTTCGAGATCAGCCTGGGAAACATGGTGAGAACCTGTTCCTACAAAAAATTTAAAAATTAGCCAGGCACGGGGGCACATGCCTATAGTCCCAGCTACTAGGGGCCTTAGGTGAGAGGACTGCTTGAGCCTGGGAGGTCAAGGCTGCAGTGAGCCAAGATCATGTCACTACACTCCAGCCTGGGTAACAGAGCGAGACCCTGTCTCAAAAATAAAATAAAAGTGGTCTTTTTTTCTCTCTACTTTGAAGACTTTGTCTTTGGTTTTTAGTGCCTTTACTATGATGTAGCTCAGTGTGGGTTCTTTTTATTTATCTGTTTAGGGCTCATAAAGCTTTTTCAATCTGTGGCTTGATGTCTCAAGTTTGGAAAGTTCTCTGTTTCGTATCTTCAAAACTGCTTCTGTTCCATTAGATCTCCCTCTCCTTCCAGGATTCCAATTACACTTATACATTTTCTCACTGTATCATCTATTTTAATCTATCTTCTGTATTTTAATATTTTTGACTTTCAAAGCTTTATTCTGGATAGTTTCTTCTGACCTATCTTCAGTCATTTTCTTCAGCTATGTCTAATCTGCCATTAAATCTACCCATTGACCTCTTATTTTTAGTTATCCTGTTTCTGTTCTAGAATTTCTCCATGGTTCATTATCAAATTTTATATAAATGGCTTATAAGTACCTAACCACAAATTATATATGTAAATATGTAGCTTCCAGTTCTCTAATGAATTAGAATTTTTAGTCTCATTGAATATAGCAGTAATAACTATTTTAAAATCTCCGATAACTCTCTCATGCAGAGTCCCTATGGATCAATCTATTGTCGATTGCTTTTGTTGGTTCTCATTCATGTTATGCTGTCTCTTCCTGAGCCTGGCTACTTTTAATGGTGTATAGAACTGTATTTGAAAATTTGTTTATAGATATAATGAAGGCCTATGGTGTTGTGTTCCTCAGAAAGGATTTATTTAGCTTCTGCCAGGGCCTGGAAATACTGGCAAACAGATAATCTCAATCCAATTTAATGAGGATTCTCCCTCAATTAGTTTATGGCATCTACTTCCTCTTCATCCTTCCTCCTAAGGTGAAGCACTTTGGGGTCCCAACCCAAGGCAAGGGGATTTGCCAGCTCCTCTTTGCAGGCCTTGAATCCCAAATTTTGTCCTCTATCCTGGGAGGCTCTGGGAACTGCCCCTACTCTCCATCTCATCCTGATCAACAAAGGTAGGTTTGTAGAAGCTATGTTGGCACACCATGGCCTTGCCCCTCACGCCTAATTAGACCCTTGGATATTTCATCCATTTAGGCTAATCTCTTTCAATCAGGAATTTGGTTGGTATTCAGAACTAGCTGGTCAGTCTCTTATTACATTGTAAACTCGGGAGCTGGATGGAGTGGCAGAAAGCAAGGAGGGAGAATAAAACGTATGTGCAGAAAACAGCTGAGAAGGAGACCATGAGAGCTCTTCAGATTCTTTCTGGGGTCTGGAACCTACACTTGTGCTCACCAAAACTTTCCTGTGCCCTCAGAATCAACTCTCCTTTCTATGCTTAACCTAATTGAGGTAGAGGTTGTGTCCTTGCAACCAAACATCATAATACAGTTAGGAAGAGACTAGCGTTTAATATTTTTTTTAAGACTACACACCACTCTTACTAATGGCTTGAGAGGTAAAAGGATAAACCAACTAAGAGTCAACATATCTTCAAACGACTATCAAGGTAAAAATCTGATTCAGAGGTCACCTTCCAGTGTTTCTCTGCCAGGCATTCCATGGGACTTCCAGAACCACTTTACCAACAGAATCACTTATAAGGCACACTCAAAATCTGGTAAAATACATGTGAGCAGGGAGAGCATGACCACTTGAGGGCGGTCCAGCCACACAGCTCTGCAAAATGAGGTGGGTGACAAAGTGGGCTAGCACCAGGACATCTAAGGACATGCTATGGTTAATGATAATGACGGTTAAGCTCATTCTAAAGAATGGGAAGTTTTTGCCAAAAAGATAGAAATTCAGGTAAAGGGAACACGCACCAGCACAGAATGGTGTGGAAAGGCAACCCATGTCATGTCACTGCTGCAACTTCAAGATAAGTATCTGAACACCTGAACATTGCTCAGCATTCTTGCATTACCTAGAGATTTAACTGTACTCTTCAAGCTTTTCAATAACTGAATCAGATAGAAGAACTCTACAGCGAATGATAGTTCATATTGCTTCAGACACTCATCTGAGAGAACACATTAGCAATCCACTAGAACACTGGTTCTCAAAGTATGGTCTCAGGACTAGCAGCATCAGCATCACCTGGTGATGTGTCAGAAATGCAAATTATTGGGCCCTACCCTAGACTTACTGAATCAGAAACTCTAGGCTGGGTGCCATGGCTCACACCTGTAATCCCAGCACTTTGGGAGGCTGAGGTGGGTGGATTGCTTAAGCACAGGAGTTTGATACCAGCCTGGGCAATAGTGGGACATTGTGTCTACAAAAAATAGAGAATATGGCCAGGCGTGGTGGTGTGCACTATGATCCTAGCTACATGGGAGGCTGAAGTGGGAGGATTGCTTGAGCCTGAGAGGTCAAGGCTACAGTGGGCCAGGATCATGTCACTGCACTCCAGCCTGGGTGACAGAGAAAAAGAACCTGTGGAAGGATGGAAGGAAGGAAAAGAAACTCTGGAGGTGGGGCCAGTAAATCTGTTTTAATAAGCTCCTCAAGAGATTCTGATACATGCTAAAGTATGATCTAGAATAAACCCTTCTCATAATGTGATTCTGCTTAGACTTTTATTAAAAACTACATCTCTTGGGAACCAGCTGAGACCTCTTGAAGCAAAATCTGCACTATCGTGGAGCCCAGATTCTACATAGCTACTAAGCCCTCCTGGTGATTCCGATGCACAGTGGGTTTCAAATACCCCATTAGATTATAAACTCCTTGAGAGCAGGGACTGTCTTGTTCAGTTTATTTCTAATTGTTGTGCCATAAGAGACACTCAGTGAATGTTTGTGAATGATCAGCTAGTTCCACATCAACCTGCCCATCACGACAGCAACTTGTGCCAAGGCTGCTTAGGAGCATGGCAGAACTGTAGAGGTATGTGTTTATCCATCCCCTTTCTTGCCCCTCAAAACAATAAAGATTTTGCTTACTTAAAAATGGCCAGCAGCTTGGTAAGCATAGCTGGATTGTTAACTGATGAATGAAAGCCATCTTTGTTTTAAGCTATTTGGTTGTAAAGAAAGGTAACTATGGCTTGGGAGAGCTAGAAGGGGTTTGAGGTACCTCAACTACCTAGAGGTGAAGTTCAGATTAATTTAAGTAACGTTGACAGACGTAACTGTTAGCCTAGGGGAATACGATCCATTTGGAAACACTATTGCAAGAAAAGAAACTTCTGTTAAGAGATGGCTTTGAGCACCTCCACCCTTTGTTTAGTTTTGTCAGCCAAGACAACAAAGAATGAGACTTTCTGAATTCAGGCTCCTTAGAGTTACCATGAAACCCACCAAATCAGTCTAGGTTAAGGGCAAAAGCTGACTTCTCAAGAAGTTCAACTCTTTCTGGTTTTATAAGCAACAACTCTGAGACTAAATTGAAATGATTCAGGAAACATCACCACCACCACCCCCCCGCCCAGAAATTAAATAATTGACCTTATAAACACACATATTTCAATTAACTGTTCCATTTTTTTAAATTGCCAATTTATTTTTCTACCCAATCCAGTATCAACGATATACAAAAGGATATAAACAGACTATCATGAATATTTACAGGATGACACACCAAACAATTACCAAGGAACAAATCCTGCAAAGTAACAAATTGTTGCTTATCCATGTCCACTCAACTGTACAAGGTTTATTTCTAGGACAATTTCCCAGTTCTCTGGGAAGGAAGTTCTGTGGATTTATACCTTCCATAAGGGTCAAGCAAACATGCTAAGAGCTGATACCATCATGTTTTTATACTAACAGCCGAGAAAGGCTTTTAAAGAACACTCTCTTTCAGGCCAATGTTACAGCATTAGTGGGCTCATAGACAGGATGTGACTTCATCAAAGGAAATGCTTCTCTCCTCTTGGTCTCCCTAAGGTCCTCCTCCTAGTACACAGGAGGAGTTCCCCATAATAACACCCTGGTTCCAACAGATGGTGTGTAGATTATCAACACACAATGAGAAAAAGAAACTGACCCCCTTACCTACCAAATACAATACAGATCTGGGGAGGCAGTTTCCAGATCTTCAACAGGCAGACACTATGTGGCCTGTATTTAGTACACAGCACATTCTCTTAAGAGAAAACAGGAATGAACATTCTCAGAAACATTCACATTGCTCATCAAATGTAGCTTTACCCAAAGTATATAGGAAATGGCAAAAACCTAACCTAGCTGGACATTTTATACAAGTAAGTCAAAGTTCAAAGGAATCATCCTATCTTTATTCTCAGAAATCCAATGTTGAATATCACAGTTCTTCTTTAATGGAAGCAGAAGATTCAGAGTCCTTGTCTCCCAAAATGCCTCAGCCAGGGTCAGCACAGAGAGTGGAATATAAAAAGCTTAATTGTGTTAATACATGGAAGACAACAGTTCTCAGTCAACCTAGCCACAATTTTCTGTCTTGGCCATCTGTAAGAAATGACTACGTTTGAAATTCAACTTTCACATTCAAAAAAAAGAAATCAATTCAGCTTCAGACACAAAGCAAAACCAAAACAAAAAAACAAATGGCAATAGTCTACATATCTAAACACTTGACAATTGGGGAACTGTCCCACAGTGATATGCTCAAGGCCAGTAGCACCTATTTATAATTTGGCATGTACTGCTTGAAGGGGCAACAGGACCCGGAGCTAAAATATTCAATTATAAAGATATAATACATCGATGAATCAGACAAAAGTAGACATATATGATACCACATTAAAGATTCATATACAGTACTGTGCTGACTTTAAAGAAAATATTTTGGGACACTAGAAGGAAAAGACAATAGGAAAAGAATTACAAAGGAGCATTTCAGTCCAAAGCCAGTCCAGTGAATATCTATGACTAGGATTTCCAATCTTTGATCTCCAAAGAAGCTGATCTAATAAATTCTAACAATACTTCGTTCACATTTGGGACACACAACATACTTCCAAGTACAGTAATCCCTCTGACGTTTTGGTTTCACTTGCTATTTGATGACTAAGTTGTTTCTGGCTATAAAGATCTTCCTATTTTAATTAGCCATTTAACACTACAGAGGCTGCTCCCTTTGAGAGACCAGACAAGTTTCACAGAATTTGATCTAATGAAGATGAATGGTGGGGAAAAAAGGGAACATTTCCTGGGTTTTTTTGCAAACCTTTTTCTCTTGCTTGAAAAACTCTGCAATCACTTAATGTTTTGCTCCAGAAAAAGAAAGCAAAACTAGCTGGGAAAATACCCATACATTAATACTTCGTGTTTACTAGCATGATACAAAATAAATTCATAGATGTCAGTCAATTGTTTCTTAAAGACCAAATGTGAATTTTTAATCTTGTAACTTAAGAACTGAGTTTTTCCACATTCCTTTATATAGAGTTAGCATCTGTAAACTGAGACCCTTTTTTGGGTAATCATACAAATTTAATTTGTCCCTGGAAACAAAAACCCAACCTAACAGATTAACAAAATATGTCCGTTAGACAATATTTTTTGTGAATATTGCTGCACTGTTACCATTTTTATCCTTCAGTAAATGAAACTACACTTAAAAAGTTTATGTATTTTGAGTTTACAAAGAGCTAAACTCTTAATTAAGAAGACTATGAAATCAACCTATACTCATTTCAGAACTGGCTTCCCTCCTTTCAAAAGTAAATTCTAAAAGTTTTTTAGTTATTACTATTAAGTTATATGAGCTAGAGACATTTCGACTGCCATCAATGCTTCTGTAAAATTGAATAAAGATTTTATTATACCACACACACAAAAAGCAATCGGTACAGAAAAGGCAGTTTTCAGTTATTCTGTTGAGAATTTCTTTCCATGATTTCTCCCATTAAAGTATAGTTTTCAAAGCAACCACCACGACAAAGGAAGCATCTAATTAGTCCGTTTTCTTCTGATCCAAGAATGCTGAACATTTACTGTCCCATCTGTAGTTGTATCAGCAGTGTAATGAACACAGTTTATATTACTTAACTATTCTTTGAACTCCAAGAACTGTTGAAGTCTTTTCTGATGTTCTGCAGATGCTTGCACAGCACTAAATGAAACATAAATTCAAAGCATAAGCTTTATTTTACATTAAGCATATTAAGTGAACCACAGAGCACAGAGACAATATTTTTCAAAACAATTAAAAATGAATAGAAATCTTCACTTATTACTATTTCTGAAAAAGCTGGATGAAAACTCTTTTTAATCTAATGAAGAGGAGGGCTTGCATTCAGTAATGGCATGCTTCTATCTTCTAAAAGACCAAACAAATTAAGACTGACAAGTGAAGGCATTGACTTTAACCTGCTCTGCTATGGAACCTGCTGTGCGGAGTTCCAGGCCTTGGAGTAGATTTTCTGGATTTTATTATTTTATTTAAACCAGATTCCAACATTATCTTTGAGTTGTGGAGTATCTGAATTGCCTTTAATACAAAATCCTTTAATCTAAAATGTTTGGTTAAAACACAATAGACTCCATTAATTGTTTTCAAAGGTAACAGCTTGGTGGTTTAGATTTACTTCTCCCTTTGAACATAAGTTATGTTTTGGATGTGAACACTGTGTTCTCTCTCCACCCTCACCATCACGAAAATATATTACACCTTGATAAAATTAGGGCAAATATATACTGAAACTAGTATAATACTTCCTCTTAAACTTTTGGGCAAAAATTGAATATAATGAAAAATTCCGGTTTTCTAGTTCTTGAATAGGTCACCGCTTTTAAAAGTGCCAAAACGGTCTTATTTTAATAATTGTGTTATGAATTGCCCTAAAATGTCTTATAGACATCTTTGCTTTCTTGAACCATGTACCTCCAATTGAACCATTTCAAGTATTTTACTGTACAAAGATGCCCTCTAGGTGCTAGTGAGGCTGTCTTCTCTAACTTAATGGCTCTGGAATTCTCTCCAACACCAAATCTGTGGCTTTCCCATTATATTTCTCTCTGCTAGCAGGTAGTAAAGTGTCCCTTACAATTTACTATTAGTACTCCTGACTCTAGTAGCAATCTCTGCCCCTCAAATAAATTTTGATATGGGCCAGGCATGGTGGTTCACACCTGTAATCCCAACACTGAGAGGCCTGAGGCAGGAGAACTGCTTGAGCTCAGGAGTTTGAGGCTGCAGTGAACTATGCTATGATCTTGTCACTGCACTCCAGCCTGGGCAACAGAGCAAGACCCTGACTCAAAAAAATTTTTTTGATATGTTATAGGCTGGAAAACCAGAATTAAATTAGCCTAAATTAGGAGTAAATGGGAGGTGGCAGGGAATGGGGAGATGTAGGTCAAAGGATAGAAAGTTGCACATATGTAGGATGAACAAGTCTAGAGATCTAATGTATAACATGACGACTATGGCTAACAAAATTGTAATGTACTAGGTATTTTTGTTAAATAAGCAGATTTTAGCTGCCTTTGACATACACACAAGAAAGTAACTATGTGAGATGACAGACATGTTAATTTACTTCACTAAACATTTTACTATTTATATATAAATCCCATAACATATGTTATAAACCTCAAATATACACAATACAATTTATCTTTTAAAAAATAAGTAAATAGTGTTGAATGAATGTCTCCAATGAGTGGGCTGTGTTTGTTAGTTGATTTTCAGAGCTCAAGAGCTAACTTCATTTATACCTAGTTCTCAGAGGTAGAGCTTTGAATAGTGAATAATCAGATATTATACAATAAGTATCATGATAATGTAGACTGCACAGTGGGCTTTACCTACGTATGATCCCATTTTATCTTTACTAACAACAAATGAAACCAAGTGGGTGTGAGAATGTTCCCTTTCATGGGGACAAAAACTGTATCAGAAAGATTCAGAAGTTAGGGGAAACACCACAGTCTAGGTTAGGAGTATAGACACTAGAGATAGAACCCTAGGGTTAGAAAGATTTGCATCTGAATCCTGGTTCTGCAACTCACTACTTGCATAATCTTGGGTGAATTACTTAAAACACTAGGAAACTTGCTCACAATCACAGATAGCTAATGATGCAAGCAGACAGAAATCCAGATATTTTAACTCCAGATCTAACATTCTTTCCACTATACGACACTGTCCTACATTTGTACAAATAGCCTCCACTGATTTTATCAGCTTTGGCACATATATAAAATATGGCTCTTTTCAGAGAAAAGAAACTAAGGTGGAATTTCATTCTCACAATTTTTATTTTATTTATGTATTTATTTATTTTTGAGGCAGGGTCTCGCTAAAATATGGCTCTTTTCAGAGAAAAGAAACTAAGGCGGAATTTCATTCTCACAATTTTTATTTTATTTATTTATGTATTTATTTATTTATTTATCTTTGAGGCAGGGTCTTGCTCGGTCGCCCAGGCTAGAGTGCAGTGGTGCAGTATCGGCTCACTGCAACCTCCACTTCCCGGGTTCAAGTGATTCTCCTGCATCAGCCTCTGGAGTAGCTGGGATTATAGTTGCCTGCCACCATGCCCAGCTAATTTTTGTATTTTTAGTAGAGAAGTGGTTTCAACATGTTGGCCAGGCTGGTCTCAAACTCCTGACCTCAGATGATCCGCCCGCCTTGGCCTCCCAAAGTGCTGGGATTACAGCCATGAGCCTCTGCAACCGGCCCATTCTCATAATCCATTCTCATAATTTTTAATCAGTCATCTATATCTCTTTTTCTTTTTTTTCTTTGAGACCGAGTCTCGCTCTGTTGTCCAGGCTGGAGTACAGAGGCACGATCTCGGCTCACTGCAACCTCCGCCTCCTGGGTGCAAGTGATTCTCATGCCTCAGCCTCCCGAGTAGCTGGGATTTCAGGTGAGCACCACCACGCCCAGTGAATTTTTGTATTTTTGGTAGAGACGGGGTTTCACCATGTTGGCCGGGCTGATCTCAAACTCCTGACCTGAGGTGATCCACCCACCTCGGCCTCCCAAAGTGCTGGGATAACAGGCATAGACCACTGTGCCTGGCCTATATCGCTTTCTTATCTAAATCCCTATGCTCCCCTTTTCTTCTTGCCTTTTTTCCCCCAGGGGAATGTTACAGTCCTGCTATTTATCCAGCCACTGATTAAGCTGGATAAAGCTGGCAGGAACTTCAAATTAATCTCGAATACAATGTCCCCCCTGCCTGGACATGAGCACAGTCAGGCAAGGTCTACGGGTATGCCCTTCTCCTTGCTTTTGTTCTATCATTAATATATGTCATATCTATTTCATTCTCTAAATTCATCAGTATTTTCTGAATGTGTCCTACATACTAATTTATATCTTGGAGGCAGTCTAGTGTTGTAGATAGAAAGATGAAAGATTTTTAAGAGAAAGAAAGACTTGATTTCAGGTTCATGTTTAATACGCACTAGATTGTGCTATCAGGCAAATTTTAACATCTCTATGCCTCAGTTTTCGTATCTGTACAATTATGATAATTTCTACACTTCACAGGGTCTTTGAAAAGAGTAAATGAAAAAACATTAAGTTCTAAGTGTATTGTCTAGAATAGCACTATCTGATAAAACTTTCTGGAAGTAGGGAAAGATGTTATACTTCTGTTGTCCAATACAGTAGCTACTAAACACATGTAGTTATTAAGTACTTCAAATGTGGCTAGGGTGACTGACAAATTGAATTTTTAACTTT
This sequence comes from Homo sapiens, assembly GCF_000001405.40. NCBI lineage: Eukaryota > Metazoa > Chordata > Mammalia > Primates > Hominidae > Homo > Homo sapiens. The sequence goes on from NC_000001.11 coordinate 53,771,622, forward strand.
ATTTAACTTTAATTTAAATTGGAAGTCTTAAACTATTCATTGATTGCATACAAAAACAGCAGAGCAATCTCTCGTGTCTTCTAAAGTTCATTTATAATTGTGATAAATATAAATACAGTTTAGTTACTAAGCTAGTATCCCTCATCCTGCCTAGCTAGATCATTTCACAAGAGGAAAGCAGTAAACATGAATAAAACTAAATATAAACAGGCTTGGCATTTGTGGTTTTCTCTCTGGTTCTGTTTCTCAAGGTGTTGTGATCTGTTGGTGTTTTTCCAGCATGAATCACAAAGCACCAGGGATTCATTTCTGGAATACTTTGCTCACCCCAAGTCTTCAGTTTGCTGACCAAGATATAACAATAGAATTAGTTTTAATATGCTTTTCTGGAAAGGTACTCGGGTTTTCTGCTCTTTTTTCTCCCTTAAGGATCTTTTGATAATTTAAATATATATATATAATTAATCTGCTGCATTTATAACTTTCTGTCTTCTTTTGTCCATTTGAAAGAAATCCCCAAAGCTTTATGATGGGCCAAATTTTAAAATATAAATATTAAGTCCACATCCAAGCTGTAAGTTTACAGTGAGAATCATCAAGGTCCCAAAAGAACACTTTCAACACATGAGCCTTATCATTCCCATACCTATTTCTAAGGAAAGCTCCCCAGAATAGGTATCATCATGGATCAAAACAGGTAAACTTACTTCAGATGTTCACCAAATGTAGTAGTTATTCGATAGATGGCAGTTTTCAGTGATGCTCTGAATGCAAATCTTAATGTTTTATATGAAGTGTCCACAAGGCTTCCTGAAATCCGGGGTGGTTTACTGGAAGCATGAGGAAGCTTAAAGTACTTGTCGACTGCCTACACCAAGAAAGAAAACACATCAGTTTAGATTATAAAGAAAGCCAACCTAGGCCAGGTGCTGTGGCTCACATGTGTAATCCCAACACTTTGGAAGGACGAGGCGGGAGGACTGCTTGAGCCCAGGAGTTCCACTGTACTCCAGACTGGGCGACAGAGATCCTGTCTCAAAATAACATAACATAACATAACATAACATAACATAACATAACATAACATAACATAACATAACAAAACAAAACAAACATAATATAACATAAAATAAAATAAAATAAAAAATTAAAAAGAAAAAAGTCACTTCAGTCCAAAGAATTAAGATTTGAGATAGATACAAATGGATATATACAGAGAGATATACACATATCTATAGCTATGCTGTAACACATTTCTTACTGTAGATCACAGTCAAAATAGTTTCATAAACAATGCAATAGGGAGGCTCAGCTACTATGACAGTTACCAGGCCCCCCCCAAAATCCAGACTTGCCCTTGGAAATGAAGCTATCATTCAATATCCTTGAAAATGCAAAGCTTGAAGTCAAACACTGATGTCCTACTCTGCTTATGATGTGACAGCCAGGAGGAGCTTTATTAAAAGACCTCAGCAAAAAAAAAAAAAAAGACCAAAACTTTATACTTTACAGAAATAGTTATTCACTAAATAGTTTATCTTCCTTTTCAATTCAGATAAGGCATTTATGATACTGTTACATCATGAGGTCCCCATGGAAAAATAAACTGACAAGATACAACAGTATAAGCGTACTATTTATAGTTATGAATGTAACCACCAAAAGAACTGAAAACAAAAATAATTAAAATTATTTTTGCCATCAAGTTCTTAATTTCAAGAGCTCTTTAACATCATCTGTTCTTTTTAATTTTAGCATCCTATTTTTGTTTCAAAGATGCAATATCCTTTCTTATTTCTAAGGATTCTGATGACAGCTTTTTTGTTTTTTAGTTTCTTCCAAGCTGATTTTCCCCCTTTGCTCCCTTTAGTCTCCAACTTCTGCATGAGAGACTTTCCTCAGAAATCTAGTGATCCTCGTTCACAAATGCAAGTGGGACCTGCTAAAGAGCTGAGCACCAATTCTAAGTGCATGACTGGGGATTACAGACGAGCGGCTTCACAGTGGGTCATCTGCAGGGACTTTTGGGGCGTGAACCTTCAACTCAGTCACTTTAGGTCTTTCTTCTTGGACTGGTCAGAGTGCCCAAAGAAAAGTCTTCTAGTATCCTGACTACAGGGCCTGCCCCAGTGTTCTGAAGCCAGGTGGACACCAGGGCTTTGGAACTCATCCCTCTCCTTTAGTGCAGCACCCACAACTCCCCCAGACTGGGTGTTCTACTCTCTCTTAAAGGATAAACCTCAGACTACAGTGGAAGAGGAGCAATTACCCCACATCATAGGATCTAGGGATCTAACTAATTTTCAAACAGCTCTCACCCAAACCTCTTTATTTTGGGTACCTGTCCCTTCACGCGTGGTTCTAGAGTTACTTGGTGCTTCTCCCACCACCAATTTGAAATCTGCCTCTGGAAACTGCTAAGTTAGCGATCTCAACCATCTGCTTTCCAGCTTTGAAAGTTTTGTTGCTATTATGTCCTCTCCTGTTTATGGATTTAAGTATTATAAAATACCTTTCCTATAGTTTAGCAGAGTTTTGGGGAAGGAACAAAATTTGATGCATGTGTTCAGTCTGCCACGGTAACTTTAGCATTACTTAATATTTCACTGAATTTCACTGAATTTAGTGTTATTTAAGTATTTCACTGAATTTCAACTACTACCTAAAATTATCTCAAGCATGTTCCAGTCTTGGGAAACACTTTTAAAAGTGACAGTTGAAAAAATAAATGATTGGACTCAGAGTTATCGTGGCAGATTGAACAAATGCATCAAATCTTGTTCCATCATAATGGAAAAGTTATATTCTTTTCAATTTTCTTGCAAATGTCCTGATTAACCCTCAGTATACCAGGAAAAATAATCATCATCATTAATGCCTGGGTCCTATGAATACTTTATATTTTTTGTAGTCTAAAATCATTTTACAAACAATTTACAGATGACAAGGTAATGTAAAATAACACCATAAAACTTTAAATAAGAAGGCCAGGCACAATGGCTCACACTTGTAATCCCAGCACTTTGGGAGGCTGAGGCAGGAGGACTGCTTGAAGCCAGGAGTTCTAGACCAGCCTGGGCAACACAGAAAGACTCTGTCACTACAAAAAATTTAAAAATTAGCTGGATGTGGTCCAATACCTGTAGTCACAACTACTTGGGAGACTGATGTGGGTGGGAGGATTACTTGAGCCCAAGAGTTCAAGGTTACAGTGAACCATGATCATGCCACTGTACTCGAGCCTGGGCAACAGCGCAACAACCTGTCTCTAAAAAACTAAATAAATAAAATAAAATAAAAATGAAAATAAGAATATAAACACGGCAAATCCAAATTTTTATTCCATATTTTCTAGGTTTTGAAGGTATACACACCTGAAATAAGCAATGTCCTTTGAATGCAACTAGCTGTTCACCAGCTATTATGCATAAATCTGGAATATATCCATCTTGTAAATACTAACTCAAAATTTAGGCTGTATCTCTAATAGGTTCTAGCTCATCAATTCTTCTGGTTCTTTTTCTTGCATTTGCACCATCAAAATGCAGTACCTTAAATAACTTTTGACAACTCATAATTTTGCTGAAGAAAGTACAGCCATTTTCTTTGCACCTTAATTGCAAAACATTTTCTTTTTCTTTCTTTTTATTTTTGAGACAGAGTATCACTCTGTCACCCAGGCTGGAGTACAGTAGTGTGATCTCGGCTCACTGCAACCTCTGCCTCCAAGGTTCAAGCGATTCTCCTGCCTCAACCTTCCAAGTAGCTGGGATTACAGGCGCCCGCAACCACGCCCAGCTAATTTTTTCGTATTTTTAGTAGAGATAGGGTTTCACCATATTGGCCAGGCTGGTTTTGAACTCCTGACCTCAAGTGATCCGCCCGCCTCAGCCTCCCAAAGTGCTAGGATTACAGGCATGAGCTACCGCACCTGGCTGCAAAACACTTTCATTCTTAGGTTTATAAATACAAATTCAAATGATCAATTCCAATGGCTTTTTTTCTTTGACATCACCTATTGCCTTCTTATCTTTGTATACACACAGCTACCTTCAGCACTTATCCCCTTACAAATTGTATAAAGCAAATTTTGGTGCACAAATACAACAGCAAATGAAGGAACACTGGTCATGTGTACTCTTAGCAAAATGAGAGATTTAAGTTCTTATTATAAAATACTGTGGGATGAAGTCTTTCCTGTTGAATGACTTACTAGATAAGCATACCACATATATTTCCTTGCTCTCCTTAAAAACATATTGTTCTGTAATCTTTGAGTTTCAGGAAAATATATCTAGAATATCATCAACTGAAGGTTCACAGTCTGAAATTCCTTTTTTTTTTTTTTTTTGAGACGGAGTCTCACTCTGTCATCTTGGCTGGAGTGCAGTGGCACGATCTCAGCACACTGCAACCTCTGCCTCCCTGGTTCAATCGATCCTCCCACCTCAGCCTCCCTCGTAGCTAGGATTACAGGCATGCACCACCATGCCCAGCTAATTTATTGCTATTTTTAGTAGAGACGGGGTCTCACCATGTTGGCCAGGCTGGTCTCGAACTCCTGACCTCAAGTGATCTGCCTTCCCCGGTTTCCCAAAGTGCTGGGATTACAGGTGTGAGCTACCGCGCCCGGTCCTGAAATTCCTCTTATATGATCAATTTCACCATCATCATTAAAGTCTAGAGCTATGCTGTCCAATATGGCAACCACTAGCCACATGTAGCTATTGAGCACCTGAAATGTGGCAGGTCTGAATTGAGATATGCTACAAAGTGAAAAACAAACACCAGATTTCTAAGAATTAGCATGTAAAAATGGATATAAAAGATCTCATTAGTAATTTTATCTTGATTACATGATAAAATGATACTACCTTAAATACTGGGTTAAATAAACTGTACTATTAATTTCACCTGTATTTTGTTAATGTATCTATCAGAAAATATAAGATTACATAGGTGACTGCATTTTATTTCTATTGGACAGAACTGGTCTAGAGTGCTGCTATCTGTCTCTCTGCATTTGTCTTCCAATGTGTCTCAGTAATTGTTTTAACATATTGGCAATTTTCTTCCCTTTACCATGTGGACAGAAAATTTAAAAATTATGAATTATCAATTGTATTCAATGAAAACTAAAAGACTACAAAGATGTGTGTCTAGACTTTTCATATAGCTTTTCATGAAAAATCATGCAATACTACATGATTTTATCATTATTCTGTTTTCATATTAGTCTTTTTTACAACACAAGAATAACTAATGAGTAATGATAATTCCTAGGATAATCGATAGCAAATTGTTACAAGATAGTGAAAATGTACAATCACTAGATCTATAATATACCTTAGATTTTAAAAGGGCCCAACAGACCTACATGGATAATTGCAAGAGAATAAATTTTGTTGAATTTTTTTTTTTTTAGAGACAGGGTCTCACTCTGTTGCCCAGGCTGAAGTGCAGTAGGGCAAGCATACCTCACTGTAGTCTCAAACTCAAGCAATCCTCCTGTCTCAGCCTCCTCACTATTAGAGGCTACAGGTGCACACCACAGCACCCAGCTAATTTTTTTTAAAACTTTTTATAGAGACAGGATCTCGCTTTCTTGACCAAGCTGGTCTTGAACTCCTGGCTTCAGGCAATCCTCCCACCTCAGCCTCTCAAAGTGCTGGGATTACAGATGTGAGCCATCATGTCCAACCTTGTTGAATTTTTTTTAAATAAGTAATTGCTCTCTTTGTTCTCTAAAAGACCTCTAAGAAAGAATAAAGGTCATAAAATAGCAATCTTTATAAATAGTTAGAAATGCTCAAAATAGAAATGCAAAAAATTAGGTCCAACACACCCTAATGGTATAAGCGTTAAATTAAGAAGGAAAATCTCAGTTTAGAGTAAATGTGTCCTTAACCCCTCTCTAGTTCTTACTAATCTCACACTATCCACATTTGTAACAAAAGATAAGCAGGCCTCAGGTTCAGAGACCTCAGCAAGTAAGAGTATCAAGCTAGAATTTAAAATCATTGACTTTTCTCACTTTAATTGCCTTATCCTCAATTCTGATATCCAAAAAGCACTGAAAACAAAAAACTTCTGCAACCTTATTTTTTCTTTTTGAGACAGGGTCTCACTCTGTTGCCCAGGCTGAGTGTAGTGGTATGATTACAGCTCACTGAGCTTTGACCTCCCAGGCTCAAGTGATCCTCCCTGCTCAGCCCCCAAGTAGACGGGACTATAGGCGTGTGCACCTCCCCACCTAAATTTTGTTGTTGCTGTTGTTGGAGACGGGATTTCACCATGTTGACCAGGGGCTCAAGCAATCCATCAGTCTTGGCCTTCCAAAGTGCTGGGATTACATGTGTGTGCCACCGCGCCCGGAGAATCTTTTTTTTTTTAAAGTGATGTGATGTTGTAACAAAAGATGTAAATCTTTTGGTGGCAAAAGCTGACCTGACTTGGACTCATCTGGCAGTAAAACATGACCTGTGCTGACACAGGCTATTTATAGTCTTCATCCCACTTTACCCCACTTAATCTGAATATTCAGTTAACCGGAGAAAAGCATTAATGTATCCGATTAAGGGGATTCTACCTCAGATACCAAAAGGAATGTAATATAGTATATGATGTGTGTGTGTATATACACACACACACACACACACACACACACACACACACTGTCACATTTTTAAAATTAATAAACATCTGAATTCTGAAATACATGGTAAGGTTTGAGATAAAGGACTATAGACCCATATTCTATTTGTAGCAAGTCAAACTAGTTTTCCTTTACTATAGTCATAAAATTTCCTTTACAGTAGTCATAAAGTTTCCTTTTAAAATAAATGACTTGGACGGGCATGGTGGCTCACGCCTGTAATCCCAACACTTTGGGAGGCCAAGGCAGGAGGATCGCTTGAGCCTGGGAGTTGGAGACTAGCTTGGGCAACAAAGTGAGACCCTGTCTCTTTATTAAAAAAGAAAAAAAAAAGAATAAATGAATGACTTAAAACACTAAGTAAATAAAAGCTCAGGGAAATAAAATATGACTAAATGACAATAGTATGTGAAAATATAGTTATGACAAAAATTATGAAGATAATATATGAATAGTTTAAACTGGGTATCTGTCTGACACTATGTCTGCTAGATTGCTTGCTAACAGTATTGACAGCAATACTTTTTTTTTAACCTTTCTTTTAATCTGAAAGATCTTTTCTCCTGTATAAGAATTATCATGTGGCTGGATGCAGTGGCTCACGCCTATAATCTCAACACTTCGGGAGGCCGAGGCAGGCAGATCACTTGAGCTCCGGAGTTCAAGAGCAGCCTGGACAACATGGCAAGAACCTGTCTCTACTAAAAATACAAAAAAATTATTGGGCATAGTGGTGCGTGCCTGTGGTCCCAGCTACTTGGGAGGCTGAGGAGGGAGGATCAATTAAGCCCAGCGTGTGAAGTTGCAGTGACCAGTCTGGGTGATAAAGCAAGACTCTGTCGCAAAAAAAAAAAAAAAAAAAAAAAATTGTCATGTAACATAGGAATAATGACAACAAAGTAGTAAGAGCTAACATTTACTAAGCACCTAGTATGGGTCACACATGCCAAGGGCCTTACAGAGATAATCTCATTTACTCTTCATAACCCTATGAGGTAGCTAGCTACCATTATCATCACTCCCATCTTCCAGATATAAAAACTGATGTTTAGAGATTGCCATATTTATTAGTTCTATAACATACTTTTTTTTTTTACATTTTATACTTTCTGAAATGAAGGTATATGTTCCAATTAATGGCATCTTAGATTCAAAGAAATATAATAAATGTTATTTTCCAACTAGGAAACAGTAGAAGCTGGAATTCAGACACAAGTCAGTCTGATTCCAGATCTCACACTTTGGCACATCTGCCATACTGCCATTCTATCGTGAAAAAGGAGGTTAAGAAATGCAAAACTCTGCCAAGCTCTCCCAAAGGTAATCTAAAAGGGTGGCCTGCGAAGGACTTGGGGTCCAAAACCCTAGTTTCCAATTCTGACTCAGCCATTTACTAGGTACAATCATGAATAAGTTGTACTCACACAGAAAATAGTTTCTGAAAGAGACTTCAACATGCAAAATAAGCCTTCTTTTAACCTCACAGGGTTTTACAAAAAACATTTTTAAAGCATTTCTTTTGGAATACTATGCAAATGTTAGGTAAAGCAGCATAGGACTTCATAGAAACCGAGAATAGACTCTGACTGATACAATGTTGGTCAAGGGTCTCTGGGCCTTCAAATCCATAGCTCTGGCCCTCAAGAATATTCCTTTCTTTCCCCCATTCCTCCTTCCAACCCCTACATTCTCCAGGAGCCATTAATTATCTCACATCTCTCTATCCCCTACTTGCAAGACTAGCTCAGATTCACCTGTCATATGTTCTCTGATCATCCTGCATTTCTTTTTTTTCTTTTTTTGAGATGGAATTTTGCTGTTGTTGCCCAGGCTGAAGAGCAATGGCACAATCACGGCACAATCGCAGCTCACCGCAACCTCTGCCTCCCAGGTTCAAGCGATTCTCCCACCTCAGCCTCCCGAGTAGCTGGGATTACAAGCGTCCGCCACCACCCCCGGCTAATTTTTTGTATTTTTAGTAGAGATAGGGTTTCACCATGTTGGCCAGGCTGGTCTCAAACTCCTGACCTCAGGTGATCCACCCGCCTCAGCCTCCCAAAGTCCTGGGATTACAGGCGTGAGCCACCGCGCCCAGCCTCATACTGCATTTCTATGCACAGTGGCACTGTGGCACTGACTACAACTGTAGTTCTTTGTATGATTATCTGTTTTACATCCTGTAAGCTCCCGGAGGGCAGGAACCCTGTCTTTTTCCATTCTGTATCGTATCACATGCTAATTGCTTGATAATTAAATAGTTACTGGAGGGATGGATCTGTGAATGGCATAAAGGTAAACATCAATATTCCAAATAGATCAAAATTTGACCTTCAAGTGACGAGGCAAAAAATATAATAGATAGGGTTGATCAACTTCATTAGGATGACATTGGCCTTTCCACAGAAACCAAGGCTATCTAAAGAATGTAAAACATATTTTAAAGATGAAAAGGTTCTGGAGATGGATGGTGGTGATGACTGCATAACAATGTGAATATATTTAATGTCATAGAACCACACACTAAAAATTAGATTAAAAAGGTTAATTTTTATGTTATGTATATTTTACTAAGTTTAATTTTTCTTTCTTTTTTTTTTTTTAGAGACAGGGTCTCACTCTGTTGCCCAGCCTGGAGTACAGTCACATAGCTCACTACAGCCTCAAATTCCTGAGCTTAAGTGATCCTTCAGCCCCAGCCTCCCAAGTAGCTGGAACTATAAGCTAGCATCATCACACCTGGCAAATTTTTAAAAATTTTTTTTATAGACACTGTCTCACTATGTTGCCCTGGCTGGTCTTGAACTCCTGACCTCAAGCTATCCTCCTGCCTCAGCCTCTCAAAACTCTGGGATTACAGGCATGAGCCAACGCACTTAGCCAAAAAAATTTTAATTATAAAATATATCATTTTGGTTCCTAACATTTTGTATGTAAGCACCCTTTTTAAAAACAACAATAAAATCCTATGGACCTCCAGAGGATAATACTTGTTGTCCATCCACTGATAAAGGAAATAACTACTATGAACTCAGCAATGCTTTCAAATGAATTTGTATTTTAATTAACCAAAACAGCATGTAAAAACCTCTGAGAAAACAGCTGCAAATATGTTGGAGAAATGGTAATCATTCAAATGAAAGTACATATGTCCCTTATAATAACAGTGATCTCCAGGATGGTCTGGCCACTGGCTGAAACCACTGAGCTAGCTAGCATATCCATCACTCTACTCCTTGCCCTCTGAATACTTTGAAGGATGAAAGGCTCCCCTTCCCTTTCACATTTTGCCTTTAATGATTCAGTGAAATGGCTGATGTTATTCATACTGAAAAGTAAAACAAAAGGATAGAACAGTTCCACACAATTGTTCCTTAGTAACACCCAGAAGCCAGTAATGTACAACTTGCCTTAAATTACAGAGATACTTAAACTTACGCTCTTCACTTTGATCCCTTCTAGACCAAAGAACAGAAAGCCAAAAATATATAACAGGGATCATATGAGTCACATCACATTCCTGCCTCTCAAAACAAAAAGATGGTTTGGGAGCATTTTAATCAACCCATTGCATCAGAACTGTCACTAAATTTAAGCCCCAAAACAGAAGTCTTCGTCCACTGAACCAGCAATGATGCAATCCAGCAGCCATCCAACAAGCATTTAATAAGTGCCTGTCATTTGCCAGGTACTATATCAGATGATGGGAATAGAGGCGAGACAAAGTCCCCACCTCTACTCTAGCTAATATGAAGAGGAGACAATAAAAGTCAATAAAGACAATAAAGTGTTGAGGGGGGAGTTACAGAGTAGAGTCAGACCAAAGGAGAAAAATATGTTCTAGACAAAAAAGGAAAGAAAAGGCAGCATGTGCAGTTAGAGTCAAGTTAAGAAAATAAGATATATTTGGTGGGAGGCAGAGACTGAATAGTCTATGGTAGTTATAAGAGCAGAGGACTCATGGGAATAGCAGAGTGGCTGGAATCAGAGCACGAAGTAACTCAGTTGAGAGTCCATAGGAGCAAGAGGATGTAATAATTCAGGACAAAAATGCCAAGATCCTGAAGCAAGGCAGGAAGGATCAGCAAGAGAATGGGTGGGTAATGGAACTGCCACATGGGTGCAGCTCAAGGACATGGGGACAAAGGAGTTGAAGGAATTGGTAATAAAGTGGTTGAAATAATAGACTGCAAGGTCTAAACTGGACACAGAAAGGCATATACGCAAGTCAGGAGGGAGCTGAAAGACAAAGAACATGGGGAAAAGGAACTGGAAATCCTGGTAGGATCAAAGAAACTGTACAGAAGCAGCAAGGACATGAAACGGCTGTGCCTGGAGCAAGGGCTCTTACATTGGGTCCATAGGCCTAAGGGAAAAATTCAGGGGGTACAAACTTGAATTACACATTTATCTTTACTAAGATCTAATTAAAATCTAGCATTTCCTTCAACTATGAATGTAAGCAACAAATCATAGTAGCATTAGTAGTTCCTGTGACTTTGTCACCAACAGAAATCACCAACATCTCCATATCCCAATACGATTGTTATAGTTATCTTGAAATATCATTCATCTTATCCCTACCTCAAAATAAGTTATTGGACTCACTGACAGATCTTGTTATGTAATGCAGTAATTAAAAACCACATATTACTATATCATAAATTTAACGTCTTGATAATTTCAATATAACTGATTTTTTTTCTAATCCTAAGCACTTTATGCATTTAAGAACATGATTCTGAGAAGTCCATGGGCTTCAACAGACTGCCAAAGGAATCTTTGGAACAAAAACATTTAAAGACTCTAGCTTACAGGGTAGAATCCTGGAGTTTCAAGATCTGGCGGTGGAGTACTCAGGGGATAACTGGGCCTAGGTGATAGTTGTGGGTTGAGAGGGTATACAAATGGGTAGTGAAGAGGAGGAAGTCAAAGAATTGTGCAGACAGGGTGTGGGGCAGATTACCCACACAGACTCTGAATTACTCATTACAATCAACCTCAGGATGTAGAGTGGAAAAAAAAAAGACTATGAGGCAGTTTTCAAAATCTGATGATGGCAGAGCATGACCAAAAGGTTGGTCATGATGTGGCTTAAGGGAAGATAGACATTATAAGCCTTATATAAGGAGGAGTTTTATACTGAGAAGCTAAGTATCAGGTCACTGGTCCTGTTCTCTTTGTTCCATCTTTTCTCAACATCCAAAAATATGCCTCTTTGCCTCGTTCTACTCTGCCCCTCGAAAGTATTCTCCAATCCAACTCCCCTGTTTCTAAGTAAATAGGGCCTGCTATGACTTAAATTTGTCACCCAAAAGCATGTGCTGGAAACTTAATCCCCAATGCAGCAGTGTTGAGAGATGGGGCCTAATGGGAGGTGTTTAGGTCAGGAGGACTCCACTCTCAATAATGAATTAATGCAGATTATAGAGGGGTTTAATACTGTGAGTTCGATCTCTTGCTCTCTCTTGTTCAGGTGATCCCTTCTGCCATGTTATGATTCCGCAAGAAGGCCCTTACCAGATGCAGCCCCTTAATCTTGAACTTCCCAGCCTCTAGGACCACGAGCCAAATTAAGTTTCTGTTCGTTATAAATTACCTAGTCTGTGGTATTCTGTTAGAGCAGCATGAAACAGAGCAAGACAGGGCTTGACCTTTTGACAAATCTGTAATTCCTATTTTCCTACTCAAAGGTATGAATGACTATAATCAAACAGATTGCTTTCCTTCTAACCAACTATGAAGAACCAGAAATTCTGATGGTGGTAGAGTTAAAAGCAGAGTAATTTTGGTATAGAATACCTCTAGGGCAGGCAGTGTGATCTTTATGAAATCAATTCAGTGAGTTTTAACCAGCATTTTAAAAAATGAAATAGAATGAAAAATATTAAAATGCACTACACATAGTAAAAGGTGAGTACTGTTCCAAGAATCCTTTATTTCTGTTATCTACACACACACACACACACACACACACGCACACACTATATTTTGAGTCTAATGTAAATGCACTGCAGATCACAGTCCAAAAACTTTGAAAGCCACAGTTCTAAGGGTAGAATCATTCTCTCTGAAGAAAGAATAAGGGATGTGGATCAAGCCAGGCGCAGTGGCTCACGCCTGCAGCAATCCCAACACTTTGGGAGGCCGAGGCAGGCGGATTACCTGAGGTCAGGAGTTTGAGACCAGCTTGGCCAACATGGTGAAACCCCATCTCTACTAAAAATACACAAATCAGGCCGGGCGCAGTGGCTCACGCCTATAATCCCAGCACTTTGGGAGGCCGAGGTAGGTGGATCACGAGGTCAGGAGATCAAGATCGTCCTGGCTAACACGGTGAAACCCCGTCTCTACTAAAAATACAAAAATTAGCTGGGCGTGGTGGCAGACACCTGTAGTCCCAGCTACTCAGGAGGCTGAGGCAGGAGAATGGTGTGAACCCGGGAGGCACAGCTTGCAGTGAGCTGAGATCACACCACTGCACTCCAACCTGGGCGAAAGAGCGAGACTCTGTCTCAAAAAAAAAAAACATAAATCAGCTGGGCATAGTGGCATGTGCCTGTACTCCCAGCTACTCGGGAGGCTGAGGCAGGAGAATCACTTGACACCAGGATACGGAGCTTGCAGTGAGCTGAGATCACGCCACTGCACTCCAGCCTGGGCAACAGAGCAGAGACTCAATCTCAAAAAAAAAAAAAGCGGGGGAGGGATGTGGATCTGTAGCTTTTTCCAGGGTCTACTGCACTGCTAATGCCCTGCAATCAGACTGGGTTCTAGTTCCAGCTCTGCCACCTAGGAGATTGTGTGTGAGATCTGAGGTAAGTCACTGTACTACTAAGCCTCCCTCATCTATTAAAAAAGGGTGAAAACACTTCCACCTTGCTGACTTCACAAGATGGTTATAAAGATCAAATAATAATGATATCACATTACTCTAGACTATAAACACTGTACCATTATTGTTGTTTTAACTACACTGCCAGAGTGACAAAAAATAATGTTATGACCATCAAAGATATGCCCAAATCATGGTCATCCTATTGTGCAGTCAGATAAACCAAATATTCGAAGCTGCAGGGAATTGCTAGGAAACTATTTATTTACAGAATGGCACTTGGGAAAGAGTACAAATAATAAAACTATCCATGTAGACACACACATCTCAAGTAACATACATGAGAAGGTACTCACAAAAAGTGCTCAAAGCAAAAGAATCACTGGCTTTGATGGGTAAGATTTTCTAATAGGTAAAATGAATTGAGTGTTAAAGAAAGAAATGGAGAAGCATATTTCCTCTTCATTATCTTTTATTTTTTTGAGACAGGGTCTCACTCTGTCACCCAGGCTGGAGTGCAATGGCATAATCTTGGCTCACTGCAACCTCTACCTCCCGGGTTCAAGCGGTTCTCCCCCGTCAGCCTCATAAGTAGCTGGGACTATAGGTGCGCACCACCACACCTCGCTAATTTTTTAAAACTTTTTTGTAGAGACAGAGTTTCATCATGTTGCCCAGGCTTCTCTTCATATCTTAAATGGTTTCCCAAGACCAAAAGATGCACCAGTTATCATTTAAGCCTAGTTCAATTCCACTTCCTCCAGAAGGCCTACTATATACACCAGATGCTATTTTTATTCATTTATTTATTTATTTATTTATTTATTTACTTTTGAGACAAGGTCTCACTCTGTGGTCCAGGCTGGAGTGCAGTGGCACGATCTCCACTCACCATAACCTCTGCCTCCTGGGTTCAAGCGATTCTCCTGCCTCAGCGTCCCGAGTAGGTGGGACTACAGGCTCACACCACTGCACCCAGCTAATTTTTCTATTTTTTTGTAGAGATAGGGTTTTACCATGTTGCCCAGACTGGTCTTGAACTCCTGAGCTCAGGTGATCTGCTCACCTCAGCCTCCCAAAGTGTTGGGATTATAGGTACAAGCCACTGCACCCGGCCTCCAGATGCCATCTCTAAATGCCTCCAGCCCTTAGTGTTTATAGCTGTCATGTGACACGTAACTAATATTATAAGGTGACATAAAAAGTACCAAGTAACATGAAGTTAGAAAAAGAAGCCTACTGCAAAGCAGAAAGCATGTGTTTTATTTTTTGCTCCTCTTTAAGTCTAGGACCAAGAAAACCTATTAGCTAAAACTAGCCATCAAGCCTGGTGATAGGCATCTACTGGCCTCAGTTCTTGAGCCTCAACCCAATAGGGCATTTATCTGCATGGGTCATTTAATCACAGGTCACTTTTGGTAGCTACAAATTGTGTAAGGATTTACTTTTGTCAGTGAACAGAAGTCTAGTATTTTAAACAATGTGTTTAATACCAGGGGCATATCCTACAGGTTTAGTATACTTTCTTTTTCTGTTTCTGTAAAATTTTATAAGCAGATTAAAAGTTTTCTCTTCCAAACTATCTTTTAGTTTTGTTTTTTAAAATAGAGACAGGGTCTCGCTCTGTTACCCAGGCTGCAGTGCAGTGGTGAAATCGTAGCTCACTGCAGCCTCAAACTCCTGGCTCCAACGATCCTCCCACCTCGGGCTCCTGAGTAGCTGGGACTACAAGCATACACCACCATGGCCAGCTAATTTTTTATTTTTTGTAAAAACCGAGTCTTGCCATGTTGCTTAGGCTGATCTCAAACTCTCCACCTCAAGCGACCCTCCAGCCTCAGCCTCCCAAAGTGCTAGGATTATAGGCATGAGCCACACCAGCATCTTTTCTGTCTTTTAGATTGTAATTTCCTGAGGGTGAAAAAGTATCATTATTTTAACTTCCAACATGTTTTGTCACTCGATAAATGTGATATATAGGAAACAAACAAAGCACTGGGTGGGAGGGGAAGATGACCTCTACCCCCTCCCAACCCACAGATTTCTTACCTCTTGCAGTGTCAACAAAGTATTAAGGATAGCTGGTAGTGTCGTCTGGACAACTCCAAATCTATCCTCTGTAAATGATGCTGCTACTAAGTGCGACAGACCTCAAGGGAAAAAAAAAAAAGGTTAAAAGTCAATCAAAATTAGGCAAAACTATTTGAAATACATCTATTTTAGGAAGGATTAATATTCTGAATATAAAAAGAAATAAAGGCTGGGCACGGTGGCTCACACCTGTAATCCTAGCACTCTGGGAGGCTGAGGCAGGCAGATCGCTTGAGCCCAGGAGTTCAAGACGAGCCTGGGCAACATGGTGAAACCCCCTCTCTACAAAATTAGCCATGTGTGGTGCCACAAACCTATAGTCCCAGCTACTCGAGAGGCTGAGGTGGGAGGATTACTTGAGCCCAGGAGGCAGAGGTTGAAGTTAGCCAAGATCACACCACTGCACTCCAGCCTGGGCAACAGAGTGGGACTGTCTCGAAAATAAAAAGTAAAATAAATAAATAGATAAATAAATAAATAAATAAATAAATAAATAAAGGGAGGAGCAATTCAATAGAAAAACGGGCAAAAAAATTGGAATAGGCACTGAAAAAAGTACTCAATTGCATTAGTAATGAATAAAATAACAGTCTCTGGCTTTACATTCTATTAGGAAGAAAATTTTAAAAATAATATAGTGTTGCGTAATAATATGTGCCAGGAAATTAAAAAAAAAAAAAAAAACATGTGGTAAGGGCATACAGTATTCAGAGAATGGTCAGGAAAGGCCTCTGAGCAACATTTAAGCACTGAGACGGCTGTATCTATAAGATGAAAAGAAACAGCTCTTTAACAACTAAGTTTTCATATTTAACATAAGTTAACATAAGTTAAAAACAATCTATCTGTTGCACTTTTTTGAAGTAGAGAAAGATATAAAAGAATCCAGGCTCAACAGCCTGGGCATCTTAGCAAGACCCTGTCTCTATACAAAAAATATAAAACTTAGCTGGGCGTGGTGGCATGCACCTGTAGTCCAAACTACTCAGGAGGCTGAGGGAGGAGGATTGCATGAGCCCAGGAGTTTAAGGTTGCAGTGAGCTATGATCATGCCATTGAACTCCAGCTTGGGAGACACAGCAAGACTCCATCTCTTCAAACAAACAAACAAAAAGACTAAGTGTGGTGGCTCACACCTGTAATCTCATCACTTTGGGAGGTCAAGGCAGGAAGATCACTTGAGCCCAGGAGTTTGAGACCAGCCTAGATAACCTCGTCCCTACAAAAAAAAAATTTTTTTTTTTGAGATGGAGTTGCGCTATTTGTTACCCAGGCTGGAGTGCAGTGGTGTGATATCAACTCACTGCAACCTCTGCCTCCTGGGTTCAAACGATTCTCTGGTCTCAGCCTCCCGAGTAGCTGGGTTATAGGCACATGCCAGCATGCCCGGCTAATTTTTGTATTTTTAGTAGAGAAGGGATTTCACCATGCTGGCCAGGCTGGTCTCGAACTCCTGACCTCAGGTGATCCACCTGCCTCTGCCTCCCAAAGTGCTGGGATTACAGGCGTGAGCCACCGCAACTGGCCCACAAAAAAGTTTTTAAAACAAAAATTAACAGGGCGTGGTGGTATGCAACTGTGGCCCCAGCTACTCAGGAGGCTGAGGTGGATTGTTTGAGCCCAGAAGGTTGAGGATACAGTGAGCCATGTTCATAACACTGCACTACAGCCTGGACAACAGAGCAAAACTCTGTCTCCAAAAAAAAAAAGAACCCAGGCTCAGTTTCTCTGCTTACATACAAGAAAAAATTGTGCCCAAATCAAAATACGCCTAAATATATTTTTCAAAATGATCTATATAAAACAAAGATATAAAAACGAATCTGTACATTCAAAGACTGAAATCAAGGACCAGAACTGACCTTTCATGAATTATACTTCAATATTTAACTGACAATTAAAATCATAGTTACAGTTCACAGTCATTGCTTACCTTCTAATGCCCAAATATGCATTTGGGCATCTGAAAAAACAGCCTGAATGGAGGCCTCTGGGTGCTACAAATAAAAACAAAAACATTCAAGTGAATTCCCCTGAGCAAAAACTCCATTATTTCCTTTAATTAAATATGTAGACCACAAAACAAAAAATTCACAGCTGCCTCTCAAGAATTAAAATTTAAAATAAATTCTTTTATATTTAACTTGATAATTACTCATTTAACTATAATAAAGCACTCTACCATCAACTCATTGTGTGGCCCTTGCCAAGTCTCTAAATCTCTGTGTCTCAGTTTCCAATTTAAAGTTACATATACTCAACCCACCTCAGAGATCAGTTCTGAGATCACTTAAGAGAATGGTTACAGAAACTCTTTTTAAAAAACTTGGCTGGGGCTGGGTGCAGTGGCTCATGCCTGTAATTCCAGCACTTTGGGAGGCCAAGGTCAGGAGTTCGAGACCAGCCTGGCCAATATAGTGAAACCCTGTCTCTACTAAAAATACAAAAAATTAGCTGGGCGTGGTGGCAGGTGCCTGTAATCCCAGCTACTCAGGAAGCTGAGGCAGGATAATCACTTGAACCTGGGAGGCAGAGGTTGCAGTGAGCTGAGATCGCGCCATTGCACTCCAGCCTGGGCAACAAGAGTGAAACTCCATCTCAAAAAAAAAAAAAAAAAATTTTGGCTAGGCGTGGTGGCTCATGCCCGTAATCCTAGCACTTTGGGAGGCCGAGGTGGGTAGATCATTTGAGATGAGGAGTTTGAGACCAGCCTGGCCAACATGCTGAAACCCCATCTCTACTAAAATACAAAAATTAGCTAGGTGTGGTGGCATGCACCTAGAGTCCCAGCTATTTGGGTGGCTGAGGCAGGAGAATTGCTTGAATCCAGGAGGTCGAGATTGCAGCGAGCCAAGATCATACCAGTGCATTCCAGCCTGGGATAGCTGGAAGTGGTGGCTCACGCATGTAATCCCAGCACTTTGGGACGATGAGGTGGGTGGATCACCTGAGGTCAGGAGTTCGAGACCAGCCTGGCCAACATGGCGAAACCCTGTCTCCACTAAAAATAGAAAAATTAGCTGGGCATGGTGGCACGTGCCTGTAGTCCCAGCTACTTGGGAGGCTGAGGCAGGAGAATCACTTGAACCCGGGAGGCAGAGGTTGTAATGAGCTGAGATCACGCCACTGCACTCCAGCCTAGGCGACAAGAGCAAAACTCTGTCTCAAAAAAAAAAACCCCAAAAAACCAAAATAAATAAAATAAAAAATAAAAATAAAAAAATTGGCTGGGCGCGGTGGCTCACGCTGGTAATCCCAGCACTTTGGGAGGCTGAGGAGGGCCAATAACCTGAGGTCAGGAGTTTGAGACCAGCCTGGTCAACGTGGTAAAACTCCGTCTCTACTAAAAATACAAAAAATTAGCCTATGTGGTGGCGCACGCCTGTAGTCCCAGCTACTTGGGAGGCTGCAGTGGGAGAATCGCTTGAACCCGGGAGGCAGAGGTTGCAGTGAGTCGAGATCATGCCACTGCACTCCAGCCTGGGCGACAGAGCAAGACTTCGTCTCAAATAAATAAATAAACAACAACAACAACAACAACAAAACTGCCTACTTGTTATCTCTTTTAAATTGTCTACCCTCAACCCCACTCAAAGAAAAACCGCCTAACCTTCACGTAAAAAATGTTTTTATTTGCACAAATTTATGGAGTACATGTGAAATTTTGTTACACGTATATAATGCATGATGATCAAGTCACGGCATTTTGGGTATCCTATCACCTGAGTATAATATGTTTTTGTTAACTGTAATCATCCTACTCTGGTATCAAACATTGGATTTATTCCTTCTAACTGTATATTTGTACCCTTTAACCTACTTCTCTCCATCCTCCTCCTACCCTCTACCCATCCTTCCCAGTCTCTGTTATCTTTCCACTCTACTCCCATGTGATCAAATGTTTTAGCTTCTATACGTAAGTAAGAACGTGCAATATTTATTTTTTTGTGCCTGACTTATTTCACTTAAGATTGTGATGTCCGGCCAGGCGAGGTGGCTCACGCGGTCAGGAGATCGAGACCATCCTGGCTAACACGCTAAAACTCCGTCTCTACTAAAAATACAAAAAATTAGCCAGGCGTGGTGGCAGGTGCCTGTAGTCCCAACTACTCAGGAGGCTGAGGCAGGAGAATGGCGTGAACTTGGGAGGCGGAGCTTGCAGTGAGCCCGAGCTTGCAGTGAGCCCAGATCGCGCCACCGCACTCCAGCCTGGGCGACAGAGCGAGACTCCGTCTGAAAAAAAAAAAAAAAAAGATTATGATGTCCAATTCTATCCATGTTGCTGTAAATGACACAATTTCATGCTGCCTACCCTTCTTTAACGTACCACCATGGAATAGTGTGGAACAACTGGTCCATTTGAACAAATGCTGTCTTTGGTTATGTACCCAATGAAGCCTACTAAGTACCATACAACAAGTCTATTAAGTTACATTTTTTAACATCAAATAGCAGCAGTGTCTATAATTTATCATATAATAGACCCACTTGCAAAACTGGGATGAAAATTAGCCTTTCACTTTCAAGAAAACAGGAGATCTTGGTCACCATGTGGTCTGCCACTTACTGTCTCTGTGCCCTTAGGCTAACTATATGACTCCTCTGAGCCTCAGGTTTCCTTATCTGTAAAATGAGGATAAAAAGACATATCTCACAGGAATGCTGTTAGAATTAAATGAGGGAACTGAAGCGAAAACAGAGTATGGCACACATAAGACACTCATAGTGAGTTATTTTCCCCTTCTTCTTTTTTTTTTTTTTGAGACGGCGTCTCGCTCTTTCACCCAGGCCGGACTCCAGTGGCTCTATCTCGGCTCACTGCAAGCTCCGCCTCCCGGGTTCATGCCATTCTCCTGCCTCAGCCTCCCGAGTAGCTGGGACCACAGGCGCCCACCACTGCGCCTGGCTAATTTTTTGTATTTTTAGTAGAGACAGGGTTTCACCGTGTTAGCCAGGATGGTCTTGATCTCCTGACCTCGTGATCCGCCCGCCTTGGCCTCCAAAAGTGCTGGGATTACAGGTGTGAGCCACCATGCCCGGCCTTTCCCCTTCTTTTGAAACCAAGCACTGAAGTAAAACTTCAGACAACCCCTCTTCCTTTTGGTGGAAGACAAGACACCTTCCTCTAATGGGCAGACCAGGGTGGATTATTTTTTGGTAAAGGTAATGGCTAGTTGGGTGGATCGTCCCTTCCACCATAGTGGAAAAGCAGTTTCAAGCCCCTGAAATGACTGTTATGCGTTATCTATATTCTATCAGGGTTGCTCAGACCTCTTTTCCACCAGAGTATGACTCCGAAATAATAAATATAACAGATGCCAATATAAACTTTCACTTGAAGGTATTAATGGAGTGAGCGTGATATTAGATAATACTGCAATATCTGCAGAAAGAGAGGCTAGATTTTAAAAGCTAAAAACAAAAATTCTTTCCCCTACATAGGGGCAAAGGTTTTGCACATCAAAGGATTAAATAGAGACACAACAGTCGTAGCCAGCAAAAACAGGAATCAATCTTTAGCTTCTACAACTGAGATTTACTCTCCTGTGGCAGCTGGAACAGCTGATACACAAGTTGGGAAGTCATTTCATGTGTGGTCTGAATTATAATTTTTTATTCATCATAAATTTAACATCTGTGATATCATCATCTCTCTTTTGAACACCAAAATGGTCACAAAGACGCTAGCAGGACGTGAGCCAAGAAGCACCAGATAGCCACACAAATGTGTTCACTTTGTGAAGATCCAGACAGCAGGAAGGGGTCTGTGTTGCCTATCAGCACAAAGCTGCCAGCAGCCAAGAGATACGAGAGGCAACTAGAGAGTCAAGCTTCAGAAGCCACTGAAGTGAGATGTGTGTCTAGGGCAACTATTGTTAAAACGGAGGTTCAGTGAAGCACTATGCAAAGCTGCCTAGCTTGCTAGGATTAAGCTATAAAATATTTACAAGTCAGATCCTATCTGCTACTTTATTTCATATTTCATTTCCTCCCTCCCCATTCCCAACGCTATAACCACATATTCTTACCTTACTGAAAAAATACATTATCAGCACCCGTTTTGACAAGAAATTCTTAATCTGAGTTGGAAAAAAGGAAGAATTAACACATTTACCTTTTAAATTCTATTCAAATATAACACATTTCCTAGTTCTTCCAGACAGTAACTTAAATGAAAAAATGAAACACTTCACATCTTGTGGGCAAAGAATAATAATACTTAAACAATACGCCATGTAACTAAATACCTTTGTGCTACAAATTGGACAACCAAGATGAGCCAACTAAACTGTATTCCCATGTATACACGTTTAACCCCCAAATTAGAGCCCTGACATAAAAAAAAATTAATTAATTCTAAGTGGTTTTGGTGAAATTTTTTTCTTTTTTCTTTTTTCTTTTTTATTTCAGAAACAGGGTCTCGCTTTGTCACCTAGGCTGGAGTGCAGTTTTATGATCACAGCTTACTGCCACCTCAAATTTCTGGGCTCAACAGATCCTCCCACCTCAGCCTCCTGGGTAGCTGGGAATACAGGCACACCACCATGTCCGGTTAATTTTTAAATGTTTTTGTACAGACAGGGTCTCACCATCTTGCCCAGGCTGGTCTCAAACTCCTGGACTCAAGCAATCCTCTCACCTCAGCCTCCCAAAGTGCTAGGATTACAGACTGGAGATATTTTTCAAGGCCACATTATTTCTCGATTCTCTATAACTGTCCTGCCCTTTAACCTTTTAATACCCAAAAAAAGAGTATGTTTCTCTCACAGGGAAAAAAAAATCTTTTTTTTTTTGAGACAGGGTCTCACTCTATCACCCATGCTGGAGTGCAGTGGCACATTCATAGCTCACTGCAACCTCTGCTTTCTGGGCTCAGGTGATTCTCCTACCTCAGCCTCCCAAGTAGCTAGGACTACAGGAATGCACCACCACACCCAGCTAATTTTTGTATTTTTAGTAGAGATGGGGTTTTGCCATGTTGCCCATGCTGGTCTCGAATTCCCGGGCTCAAGCAATGTTCCCACTGTGGCATCCCAAAGTGCTGAGATTACAGGAAAAAAAATATCTTAAGACACAAAGTAGTTTTCTACTAGTTGACAATTCCGGGGGAAAAAGTGTTCTTAGTATCAGCTAAAAGCTAACCCAACTAACTTAAAAGTGAATCTGCTCCTACCATACTCTCACCCAAAGCTGCATGACTAGTCAGAAGGCTGCAGCAAGCAGCACGTGTCTGGTTGGGTAGAAAGTGACACGGCAGTACTAATGGCATATAGAGCCGTATGGGATCCCGAAGTTTATGAAATGCCTTTAACCATTCATTCCCTATTAATCAGTCATTCCATCAGCAAACATGTTATAATTTCTCCCATCTTAAAAAATAAAAACATGACTGGGCGTGGTGGCTCGCGCCTGTAATTCCAACACTTTATGAGGCTCAGGCAGGATGACTGCTTGAGGCCAAGAGTTTGAGATCAGCCTGGGCAACATAGAGACTGTGTCTCTACAAAAAATAAAAATTAAAAAAATTAGGCAGGCATGGTGGCAGGCACCTGTAGTCCCAGCTACTCAGGAGGCTGAGGTGGGAGGATCACTTGAGCCCGGGAGTTCAAGGCTGCAGTGTAGCCATGATCATACCACTGCACTCCAGCCTGAGCAACAGACAGACCAAGAACCCATCTCAAAATTTTTAAAAAAGTTCCTTGACCCCTCAATTCCTCCCAGCTATTGCCCCATTTTTCTGTTCCACTTACAACAAATTCCTTGAAAAATGTGGTTTTTCTTGTGGTCTCCAATTCGTCTACCAATCTCTCCTGAACTCATGCATTTTTTTGTCCCCACTACTCCAGCCAACAGCTCTTGTCAAGGACTCAGTGACCTCCGCATTTCTAGCTCAACAGTTAATTCTTAGTTCCCGCCCCATGCTACCCATCAGCAGCATCTGACACTCCCACCTTCTCCTCCTTGAAACTCTTTCTTTTCTTGGATTTCTACCCACCTCAGTCTCTGTTGCTATTCTTTATCTCCCAAACTTTTAGCCATTGGAGGGCCCCTTTCTTGGATATCTCTTTTCTTCTGTATTTACATTCAAGAGTTTGCATCGAGTCTCATGCTTTGAATACTATCTATACTCTGAAAACTTCCAAAGTTACATTTCTAGCCCAGAACTTTCCCCTACACTACCGCTATATGCCTAATTTCTTACTAAGTATTTTCACCTGGTTGTCTCATAGGTATCTCAAAATTGGCTTGTCCAAAATCAAACTCCTGATTTCCCTCCCCTCACCTCTATCAAATCTCCTTCTCCAGAATCATCAGTAAATTCCAACTCAATAAATTGCAACTATATTATTCCAGATCTTCAGGCCAAAAACCTTACCAGTGAACACTGACTCTTTCTAGTATACACCACAACCAAACCATAAGCTAATCCTATTCCATCTAACTTAAAATACATACCTAGACCTTGACCACATCTTACAGCCCCCACCACTACCACTCTGGTCCCAGATACCACCATCTCCCACTAGATTACTTAACACCTTAACACCGTCTCTGGGCTTACATGCCTACCTTGCAAGAGTTTAGTCCCAACACAGCCCCTAGAGCAGCACTTTCAAAATATAAGTTACATCATATCATTCTTGTGGGCAAGACCATACGGTGACTTTCCATCCCACTCAGAGATGAAGCCAGTCTTTACTACAGCCAATGAGCCCTGGGTGCCTGCTACCTTTCTGATCTTATCACCCACTTACCACTCTCCCCTCACTCACTCTGCTCCAGCCACACTGGTATCCACATTGTTCTTCACACAAGCCAAGGCCATTCCCATCTCAGATGCACTGGGCTGCTCCCAGCTCTCCCTTCAGGTCTCTGATCAATCATTGCCTTATCAATGAGACTTCCCCTTATCACTCCACATAAAATGATACCCTCTCCCTTAGGAACTCTCTGTCTTCCTTGCTCTGTTTTTCTAGTTAAGACTTATATCAAATTTCTTCCTTCTTATGCATGTTTTCCATATCTTGAATATGACCTGTTGAGATGCATCTTACAGTC